>NC_000022.11:33406533-33558048 GCF_000001405.40 Homo sapiens
TGCCCTTCCCTCTTTTGGGTTGCAGAGGTATCTAGCACACTTTAGATCTCATTCAGTCTTCGAGACGACCCTCTGCCACACGTTTTCCCATTATCCGCATTTTCAGGTGTGAACACTGGCACAGAGAAGTTGGCATGCCCAGGGCTGTGTGGTGGTGTGTGGAGGAGTGGAATTTGGGGCCTCATCCTGATGATGACTCCATAAGTAAAATGTTTGACAACTATATCAATTATTAAGAGGGCTGAATGTGAAAATGCATTTATTTATTTATTTTTTGAGAAGGAGTTTCGCCTTTGTCACCCAGGCTGGAGTGCAATGGCACGATCTTGGCTCACTGCAACCTCCACCTCCCAGGTTCAGGCGATTCTCCTGCTTCAGCCTCCCAAGGAGCTGGGATTACAGGCACCCGCCACCACGCCCAGCAAATTTTTATATTTTTAGCAGAGACGGGGTTTCACCATGTTGGCCAGGCTGGTTTTGAACTCTTGACCTCAGGTGATCCACTCACCTCAGCCTCCCAAAGTACTGGGATTACAGGCATGAGCCACCACGCCTGGCTGAAAATGCATATAATATATACTGAACTCTATGCCTATACCATATGCCAGGGACCACTCTATTATTACTTTTTTAGAGACTGGGTCTTACTATGTTGAGCAGGCTGGAGTGCAGTGGCTATTCACAAGCACGATCATCGCACACTACAGTTTTGAACTCTTGGGCTCCAGAGATTCTCTTGACTCAGCCTCCCAAGTAGCGGGAACTATAGGTGTGCACCACTGTGCCCAGCAGGACAGCTCTAACTGCTGGGGAATAAAGGATTGAACAAGAGTAAGAAGACTCTGCTATTATAAAGTATCCAATGAATGTATTAGTCTCATTCCCTTTCCCTCTATTTCTTGTGCATATCTTTCCAGTTGAGAGTAGGATTAGCCTCAGGTAATTCTATCTTTCTTTTTGTGCCTATATAGGAAATTATATTTGTATATAATTAAGGTGGGTGAAGGTAACCAATATTTACTAGGCATCAATACTAGTTCTAAATAACTGGGGTTTATGTTTCCTTTACAGTGGCTTTATTCAATCTCAGCCTATTAAGAACATGTTATTATTCCTATTCACTAGATGTGGAAAGCTAACTGGTGCAGGCAAGATCCTAACCAAGTCTGCTCCCGAGACCATGCTTTCTGCTATGCTGTGGACCTCGGTCAGCAAATTTTTTCTGAAAGGGCCAATAAGTATGTATCTTTGGCTTTGGAAGCGAAAAGGACTCTGTTGCAACTACTTAATTTCTGTCTTTGCAGCCTCAAAGCAGCTGTCAATCTAAATAATAAGCAGAGAGACACTCTGTAAAAGAAAATACGTTTATTTGGGAATTAAATATTGTAATGGGAATACACATGTCATAGTAAAGTCTGCATGCATTCAGGGTGGTAAGGAAGATAAACTTTTTTTTTTTTTTTTTGAGACGGAGTCTTTTTCTGTCGCCCAGGCTGGAGTGCAGTGGCACGATCTCGGCTCACTGCAACCTCTGCCTCCTGGGTTCAAGAGGTTCTCCTGCCTCAGCCTCCTAAGTAGCTGGGATTACAGGCGTGCAACACCACGCCCAGCTAATTTTTTTTTGTATTTTTAACAAAGACGGGGTTTTGCCATGTTGGCCAGGATGGTCTCGATCTCCTGACCTCAGGTGATCTACCCGCCTCGGCCCCCAAAGTGCTGGGATTACAGGCTTGAGCCACAAAGCCCAGCCAAAGATAAACATTTTTAAAGGAAAAAATAAGGAGGAGTACATAATTGTTTTGAGTAATTATCTTTGGCTACAAAGATCAATGATAAGGATGACACTGGTCCGAGGTTGGAGAGGCAGATGTCCTTGCACACATGTTTTTGTGTAAGGTCGTGAGGTGTTTGTGCAAGGCTGTGTTTTTTGTAGAGTCTGTTTCATTATCAGGCATATAAGTGTGAGAATCATGTCTTCGTGGCCTTCCCCTATTTATCAGGGTTTTCTAATATTAGTGATTCCATCTTGATCCTGACAACTTTCATACAGCCATAGACAAAATAAAAATGAATGCTGTGGCTGTGAGCCCACAAAACTTTTATTAATGGACACTGCAATTAGAATTTCATATGATTTTCATGTGCCACAAAATAGACTTGTCTTTTTTTTTTTTTTTCTTTTTGCCTTAACTATCTGAAAATGGAAAAACCCAGCGTGGGACATACAAAAATGGCCAGGGGGGGTCAACTCCTGTTGTTAATAATTAAATATTCAGTAGGCAGACATTAAATAGACTTCGAAAAGGGTTAAAAAAGAAAACCAATGTTTCCTCAGTATATTCGCCCGGCCACTCCAACTTAATCCTAGGTTTGTTGACAAGGGCCGTGTTTTCTATTTCTTTTGTTGCCTCCCTTGAGCCTTGCTAGAGGTGAGTCTGTTTGCATTGAGCTCGGTATGAAGTCTATGCTTCATAAATGTTGGCTCAATAAGCAAAGCAGAACGATGCCTGCTGAGATAGGCTATTTCTCTTGGATAATTGTCTTCATGGAGATTCCCTTCACTTGGAGCAGTCCCATAGGGCTCTGCCAACCAATTCAGGGGCCCTGTGTGCCATTCTGATTCAAATACATCTGATCTGCTGTGGTGAAATGTCAAATATGCAATAAAGGAGATGCGGCAGGCAAGGGCTCAGGGGGACAAGGAGGGGCTATTGAAGCATAATGGTGGATGACAGGGAACAGCTTACCCTGAGACGGAAGGAGGAGGAGGAGGCTGGTCTCTTTCTCTATGTGATGTCACTGGCAGCCCCAGGGGAAAGCATAGTATAGCAGGTCAGGATCCAGGCAACAATAGGGATGTAAATAAGCCACTGATGGTACATCACTGCCTGTCCCCTTTTCCCAGTTGTCTAAGGGCTTTCTCCATCAGGGCACTTCTGCATCCAAATGGCTTGTGTCTGTAGCTGTTACTTGACAGTCAGCAGTCTGAGGCTAGGATTCTTTTACCCACTGAAGCATCCCCAGAGTCCAGCATGGGGTGTGACATTATGCACAGTTAATAATAATAATAAAACGAAATCCACTTGGGGAGGCTGAGGTGGGTGGATCACAAGGTCAGGAGATTGAGACTATCCTGGCTAACACAATGAAACCCCATCTCTACTAAAAATACAAAAAATTAGCTAGGTGTGGTGGCACACGCCTTTAGTCCCAGCTACTTGGGAGGCTGAGGCAGGAGAATCACTTGAACCTGGGAGGCAGAGGTTGCAGTGAGCCAAGATCATGCCACTGCACTCCAGCCTGGGCGACAGAGTGAGACTCCATCTCAAAAAAAAAAAAAAAAAAAGATAAGAAATCTTGGTTGAATGTCCACAAATTCAAGCAGCTATGGAGTCTAGGAGTTCAGTGATGGCTAGAAAAATAGGGTATAGGTAATGAAGAGGGAAAGCAGGTACAGAGTGGCTACATTACAAATGGTGTCTTTATAATGCAGGCTTTGGAAGGAAAGGAGGACATGCCTGTCCAGTATATAGGGATCACCTGCTTGGTTTTACGAACTACTGAAGGAAGAGTCTCACCCTAGAGGTTCTAATTTAAGTGGTCTGAGATAAGCCCTGGGATGCCAGGATTATTTCAAATCTCCCAGGTGATTCCAACATGCAGCCATGATGGCAAGTACTACTGTAAATTTAGTAGACAGCACGACGTTGTTATGACGGTCCATAGCTCTCTAACCTATAGACTGGGGAGGGAGCTAGAAAAATCCCCAGAGCTAAGTAACTGCTTGATATGGTTTGGCTGTGTCCCCAGCCAAATCGCATCTTGAATTGTAATCCCCATAATCCCCACATGCCTAGGGAGAGATATGATGGGAGGTGACTGAATCATGGGGGCGGGGGGCGGTTTCCTCCATGCTGTTCTCGTGACAGTGAGTGAGTTCTCACGAGATCTGATGGTTTTATAAGGGGCTCTTCCCCCTTTGATGCTCAGTCTTCTCTCTCCTGCTGCCATGTGAAGAAGATCCTTGCTTCCCCTTCATCTCCCACCATGATTATAAGTTTCCTGACGCCTCCCCAGCCATGTGGAACTGTGAGTCAGTTAATCCTCTTTCCTTTATAAATTACCCAGTCTCAGGTATTTTTTTTTTATAGCAGTGTGAGAATGGACTCATATACTGCTCTACCAACCACTCTCAAGCACTGAAGGCCCAGAAAGAGATTGCAAGGTAGGCTTAAGCACTGGGCTCTGACATTTACTGGCTCTGCTAACTTGCAAAATCAACGAACCTTGCTGAGCCTCCATCAGCTTCCTCTGTAGAATGGGAATTATATGAGCTGGTGCACGTGAAAGCATGAATCAAATCTAAGCAATTAGTACTGTGAACCTGAGAGGCCCCAGAGAAATCAAGTGCCTCTTCCCATCACAAATGTGTCTTCAAGGAAACCACGTTCTGAATGATGGCCAGATTATTTTCCTTAAGTCAGGAAGATTTAGGATCATATCCTTCCTTCTTTCCCTTCTACTGCACACTGAACCATACAGGTGTCTGGATGCTTGGGTCGTAACTCCTGTTAGCTCTTGCAATGCTAAAGACCTGAGTGAGTGACAGAGAAAACCCCTGACCTTGTATGGGTCAGCAGAGTAGGGCAGACACATTTTCAGGAACGGCCACCCCCGTGTAAATACTAAGCCAGGTCAACTCACTTATCCAGGTGTTGGAATGCTGCAGCCAGGCAGAGTTAGCCACAGCAAGGAAATGTCTCTGTTTCACTTGGCCACTGGTCAACGATCCATGGCTTCAAACACCTGGACCTTTTAGTCAGAGATCATCTGCCTAAATTGAAAAAGCTCAAGTTGGGTTCCTATGAAGTAGCTCCTTGGCAAAATACTGATTCTTTGCAAATACACAGACTGTGTGCCTAACACAGAAAACAAACAAGCAAATCACATGCATACATAAACATGCACACATCTGTTTAATTTAAAATTTTATCTCGATTGTAAACTGACACATTTGGCAAATTTAAATTTTGATCTATCAGAATTTAAAATATCCATAACATTTAATATAGCAGTACCAGAATAGCTTAGGAGCTATTGTGTACCAATACTTGCATAAGCAAACAAACAAACAAACATGGGTAATGAGAATATCTATGTATGGTATTGTTTATAATTGAGGGGAAAACCTAGGTACAGCTAAAATACCAACTCATAAAAAATGGAATAAACGAATTATAGCACCTCCATCAAATGGCAAAACTATGCAGTTCTTAACAAGAAAGAAAATACACCATTGTATTAATGTAGAAGACGCCCAATATTTTATTTTTAAGTAAACAAGTCTATTCAAAAAGAATATGCATATATACAGAGAAATAGATAATTACATATGTGGAAAGCAGAAGTCAAGACTGCAAACTGTCAACAGTACTTACTTTCAGGGAATGTGAAAAATATATATTATTGGCCGGGCACGGTGGCTCACGCCTGTAATCCCAGCACTTTGGGAGGCTGAGGCGGGCAGATCACTTGAGGTCAGGAGTTCGAGACCAGCCTGGCCAACATGGCAAAATCCCGTCTCTACTAAAAGTACAAAAATTAGCCAGGCGTGGTGGCACGCGCTTGTAGTCCCAGCTACTCGAGAGGCTGAGGCAAGAGAATTGCTTGAACCCGGGAGGCGGAGGTTGCAGTGAGCCAAGATCGCACCATTGCACTCTATCCTGGGTGACAAGAGTGAGACTCCATCTCAAAGTCATATATATATATATATTTATTATTATTATATTTCAGCAATGCTGGTAAATGTTCAACAACTGACTCTTCAGAAAGAAAGAAATCCCCTGATGGTAGTGTTTTCCCATTTCCAGGTTGCAATAGTCCCACCATGGCAGATTTCAAGCTACCAATGCAATGCTACTGAACGGTTATGAAGGGATGTGCAGCACGACCCCACTGCATGGCATTCCCGCCATACAGACATGGCAGACGCAAACAACCTTAGAAGCACAGAGAGTAAAGTGATTAGGAATTAACAAGTTTTAAGAGTTTTGAGTATTTGTTACCTTTGTTTTTCAAATGACATATTTCATTGTAAGTTTACATAATCTGATTTTTATTTTATTTTATGTATTTATTTATTTTTGAGATGGAGTCTTGCTGTGTCGCCCAGGCTGGAGTGCAGTGATGCAATCTCAGCTCACTGCAACCTCTACCTTGCTGGTTCAAGCAATTCTCCTGCCTCAGCCTCCCGAGTAGCTGCGACTACAGGCATGTGACCCCATGCTGGGGTAATTTTTGCATTTTTAGTAGAGACAGCGTTTCACCATGTTGGCCAGGCTGGTCTCGATATCTTGGCCTCAGGTGATCTACCCGCCTTGGCCTCCCAAAGTGCTGGGATTACAGGCGTGAGCCACCGTGCCCGGCCTTGATTTTTAATAGTGGCTATGTTTAACAACTGGATCCCATATTTCCTAAAAATTTAACAATAGGCTTTCACTAGCAGATGTGAGCTAGGACCCTAGCACATCACTGCATTTCTAGACTATTTTTGTCCTTTATAACAAATGTGAATATGAGTTGTCAAAATTCTTTTAAAAAATAGTCTAAAATAAAAAAAAAATCCTATCCTTTGGCAGTAATCTAGAACCAGAATCTCACAGATTCACTAGTAACTGGCAATGTCTATAGTGGAGTTTTAAAGCAACTGAACCACTCTTTCTGAAAGAGTGGTATAATAATTTTTAACTTCTACTCCTACCTATTGTGTGGCACATTCTGCAAAAAGAGCCACAGTTTATTAAATGCCTGCTATATGCCAGAATACAAATTTTTCCTACATATATTTTATATATATGCCATATGATATCCCTACCTCTCCCCCGAAACACTCTGACATAGGCATCATTACTGGGGGCTTTTTATTTTATTTTATTATTATTATTATTTTTAGAAGGAGTCTTGCTCTGTCGCCCAGACTGGAGTGCAGTGGCGAGATCTTGGCTCACTGCAACCTCTGCCTGCCCAATTCAAGCAATTCTCCTGCCTCAGCCTCCTGAGTACCCGGGACTACAGGTGTGTGCCACCATGCCCGGCTAATTTTTTTGTATTTTTAGTAGAGATGGGGTTTCACCATGCTGGCCAGGCTGGTCTTGAACTCCTGACCTTGTGATCTGCCCGCCTCGGCCTCCCAAAGTGCTGGGATTACAGGTGTGACCCACCGCACCCGGCCTACTGGGGGCTTTTTAAAACTGCCCACTGCCCTCTTGAACACAAGGCATAGTGAGCCCCCATTCATGAAGGGTGCATGCCATCCATGTTGTCACAGAGGGCAAGATTTCCTTCTTTTTAAGGCTGAATAATATTCCATTGCATGAATACACCACATTTTCTTTACCCATTCTTCTATTAATGGACATGTGGGGTGTTACAATATCTTGCCTATTGTGAATAATGTTGGAATAAACATGGGGGTACAGATACTGCTTTGAGACTCTGATCTCAATTCTTTTGGATATATACCCAGGAGTGGGATTGCTGGATCATATGGTAATTCTATTTTTAATTTTTGGAGGAACCGCCATACTGTTTTCCATAGTGGCCGCATCATTCTATAATACATTCCCAAAAACAGTGTTTAAAGGGTTCCATTACGCCAAGTGAAATAAGCCATTCACAGAAGTACATAATACTGCATGATTCTGCTCATATGAGATATTTAAAATGGTCAAACTAATAGAGGCAAAGAATAGAATCATGATTGCCAGGGACTAGGGGAAGGGAGAAATGAATTATTTCTTAATAGGTAAAAGTTTCTGTTATATGAAATATAACAGAAAATATAACTGGAAATCTGCTATAGTTAACAATAACAACAACAATAAAAGGGTGTGTGCCATAGGCCTTGGGGAGAAAAGGTTGAGGGCTGCAGATACAATGAGAAATGGCTAAAGATAAGCTGAGAGCAAGTGGGTAGGACGTAGCTAACAAAGGGGTTGACTAGGATTGGCAACTCATGTTCAGATGCTAAGAAAATGCAGCTGCTGATAATGTCATAGCTCTATGGCATCTGTAGCCTTTTATCTTATCAACAAGATCATGAGGGATATTGCTTCCGTTTCCAGGCATGTGCTCTGGTCTAAGTGTCTGTGTCCCCTCAAAATCCATATGTTGAAATCCTAATCTCCAAGAGGATGGTATTGGGGAGTTGGAGTCTTTGTGAGGTGACTAGGTCATGAGTGTGCAGTCCTCAAGAATGGGATTTGTGCCCTTATAAAAGAGACCCCAGAGAGCTAGCTCATCCCTTTCACCATGTGAAGGCACAGTTAGAAGGTGTCATCTATGAATCAGAAAGTGACTCCTCAGCAGACACCAAATCTACCTTGATCTTGGACTTCCCAGCCTCCAGAACTGTGAGAAATACATTTATGTTGTTTATAAGCCACCTGGTTAATGTTATTTTGTTATAGCAGCCAGAATGGACTAAGACAGTGTTATTTTTTTCGATTCAAACAAGAGGATCCTGGGGTGTGGAGAGGTGGCTTGAGTATCTTCAGGTCAGGATGCATGAGCAATAAAGGGCAAGTCAGGAGGAGCACCCAGCACCCTGCAGCCCAGCTGCACAAAGGCAGATGCTCCAGTTCACAGACAACTGCAGGGGAGGCCCAGCTCAGGTGGAGGCGTTGTTTTGTTTTTGCTTTATTTTCCTTCTAATCAGCATGCAGTAGCTCTGTGATGTAATTAGCAAAGAGAGAGGAAAACCATGGAGTGGTGTTGCCAGAGCTAACCTGGAAATAGAATCATTTATAAGAAAAATAGCTCAGGAGAAAAAGTCTCAGAGTGAGAGAAGCTGGGGAAACAGATTTCTTGCACTTCAGGCCAGATCCTGGAAGCCTTACATTGCATACATATTCTCTCCTGTGAGGGCTGGTGCTCCAGGAAGGGAGGAAGCAATGGTAGAGCAACTCTTCTAGAACAGTGGCTTTTGCTCAGGAAGGCAAGCGATGGGAAATCTTGCCATCTTTTCAGGATGCAGCTGGGAAAACTCTCTAGCTGCTCAGTTTAATTAGAGCCCCCACCAAGTCTCATAGGAGGGGGCTCTCGCTTGGCTGCCTTGCTAGGGTACTGCAGAGAATGTAGCAAGGCTGAAGGCACTGCGATGACTTTAGTGCCCTGGGCCTGTGGATGGGAGCTTCTGCATATGTTTCAACAGGCTGCAGCCACAGCCCTGAGAGATGAACACTTGGCTCAGGGTCAAGACATAAATGGAGACAATCAAGAGGGAAGAGGATGGTGGGTGAGGGCGGTTTCTCCTGAGGGCCAGGCGGGAAACTGTATTGTTTAAGAACCTTCCAGCTTGCTGGATAAGGCTGAACTGCCTGGTTACCGTTCAGACCTTAGACCTCCCTGATTCCCAGCCTCGACATGACAGGAGCCTCTTGTCCCATACTCCCTGTGGCTGCACCACGAATCTTAGCTATCACTTGCTGAGCATTTACTTTGTGCCAGCTATTTCCCATTCATGCCATTTTTTCTGCCAATCTCGTGAGTCTACACTGATGCTCCCATCTTCTAGGTGAGGAAAGTCAGACCATAAAAACCCAAAATGTGACAAAGGGATTTGCCCAAGACCATTCAGCTAGTCAAGGGTGAGACAGAGCTTGAGCTCCTCCCTGCTCCTCCTACATTGGGCACATACCCTACAAGCTGCACCTTCAGTGAAACTAAAAACCACCGTGTGTGCTGCTCTGGCCATCCCAAGTATTTTCACACCTTCCAACCTGGGCTGGGGGCTTGCTGCTCTGTTGAACAGCAAGCTCTGCAAAGTCCATGCCACCATCCCCCACTTCCAGTTCTACCCACTTTGAAGCTTTTCTCCACCCACCCGTGCAGGCCTCCACTCTAGCTCTCGGAATTGTGTACAGACTCCTCCATCATAGTGCAGGCCACATTGCATTTCACTGTCCTTAATCTTCTGATTTTTGGCTCTATGTGGGTCATCTAGTGTTTTGTGTGTTTTTTTTGGGGGGCGGGGGAGGCAATGGTGGTGCAAGTAGACACCCATTTTCTTTTTTACTTTCTTTTTTTTTGAGACGGAGTCTCGCATTGTCGCCCAGCCTGGAGTACAAAGGTGCGATCTCGGCTCACTGCAACCTCCAACTCCTGGGTTCAGGCGATTTTCTTACCTCAGCTTCTAGAGTAGCTGGGATTACAGGCACCCGCCACCAGCCCGGCTAATTTTTTGTATTTTTAGTAGAGATGGGGTTTCACTATGTTGGTCAGGCTGGTCTTGAACTCCTGACCTTGTGATCTGCTACCAAGGCCTTGGCCTCCCAAAGTGCTGGGATTACAGGTGTGAGGCACCACGCCCGGACTTTTTTTTTTTTTTTTTTTGAGACAGAGTCTCGCTGTGTCACCAGGCTGGAGTGCAGTGGTGTGATCTCAGCTCACTGCAACCTCCGCCTCCCGGGTTCAAGCGATTCTCCTGCTTCAGCCTCCCGAGTAGCTGGGACTACAGGCGTGTGTCACCACGCCCAGCTAATTTTTGTATTTTTACTAGAGATGGGGTTTCACCATGTTGGCCAGGATGCTCTCTATCTCTTGACCTCGTGATCCGCCTGCCTCGGCCTCCCAAAATGCTGGGATTACAGGCGTGAGCCACCGTGCCCAGCCTTTCTTTTTAATTTCTACTCCTAATGCCAATCATGATTCCAGGCACCTAGTATCTGCTGGACAACTGCCTACTAAATGGGCAGCCGGCAGGACCTAGGAATATGGAATGTTTCCCACCAGTGGCTTTTCAAGCCCCTTCTCCATTTCTAATCACCAGTGTGTTCCCTGCCCTCTGGGGAGAAATGCAGGTGGGAGTGTAGAATTCATTTACTCAGTCAACAAATATTTATTGAGAGCTTTTCACACACCAGATAGGGACATAGGAACAAAGAAAACAAGATCTTACTCTCATGGAACTTTCATTCTTGTGGGAAGGACAGGGATATTAGCTTTCTATTGCAGCCATAACAAAATACTTTGGCCACTTAAAATCCACACCCTTATTATTTCACAGTTAAGTAGGTGAGAAATCTTGGGGGCTCAGGTGGGTCTTCTGATTAGAGTCTTGCAAGACCAAAGTCAAGGTGCAGCCATCCAGGGCTCTTGCCCGGGGCTCTCGGGGAGAAACCACTTCTAAGCTCATCCAGGTTGTTGGCAGAATTCAGTTCTATGTAGGACGGAGGTCCCCACGCCCTTTCTCAATCAAATGGGAGCCACTCTCAGCATCTAACGACCATCTGCAACTCCTTGTCCTATTGTTTCCTCCATTTCAAACCAGCAATGGCAGGTTGAGTCCTTCTCCTACTTCAAGTTTCTGTGACTTCCCCTTTGACTCTATCTCTTCTACATCTAGGTGGAGGAAATTCTCTGCTCTTTTTTTTGAGACAGAGTCTCGCTCTGTCGCCCAGGCTGGAGTGCACTGGCACAATCTCAGCTCACTGCAACCTCCACCTCCCGGGTTCAAGCAATTCTCCTGCCTCAGCCTCTCAAGTAGCTGGGACTACAGGCATGTGCCACCATGCCTGGCTAATTGTTTGTATTTTTAGTAGAGACGAGGTTTCACCGTGTTAGCCAGGATGGTCTCAATCTCCTGACCTTGTGATCCACCCGCCTCGGCCTCCCAAAGTGCTGGGATTACAGTCGTGAGCCACTGCAGCCGGCCAGAAATTCTCTGCTTTTACAGGCTCATGTGATTAGAATGGGCCCACCAGATAATCCAAGATAAACTCCCTATGTTGAAGCCCATAATTATAGCTGCAAAGTCTCTTTTGCCATGGGACATAACATATCCACAGGTTCCAGGGCTTAGAGCCTGGATACTAGGATGGGGGTGGGGGATTCTGCCTACTGTGATGGACAGCAGTCAAATAATCAAAAACATATTTTATAACATGGATGGAAAGTGCAAAGAAGAAATATAAATCAGAGTAAAGGGATGGAGACTGCCGCTTTGAATAGGATGGCTAGGGAAGCCCACTCTGAGGAGATGACACCTGATCCAAGGACTGAGGAAGTAATGGGATAAGCCAGAGAGCTGCTAGCAGAAGAGCGGTCCAGGCAAAGAGCTCAGATTGCAGGGGTGAGAATGTGCCTGGGCAACAGCCAGGGGGCCAGAGTGGCTGGAGGGAGGCGGCTGGAGTGAGCAGGGAAGAGGAGGGGCTGTGGATACGGACAACTGGACAAAGCCAGCCCAGGCCGGCTCCCATCCTATGAGGCTGAATTTTGCCATTATTCACTCTGTGCTAGTGGTGATCTTCAGGAACCTTGGGGCACAGGCAGGTCAACAGGACCACATCATGGTTCCAAAGTGTGTTAGTACGAGTCAGAGAGTCCAGAGGGCATGGAGGGAAGAAAGCGAGGGCACTTGGGGTCTGAACACCTGAAGAATCCCATTGTATTAGTCCATCCTCACCCTGCTATAAAGACATTCCCGAGACTGGGTAATTTATGAAGAAAAGAGGTTTAATTGACTCGCAGTTCCGCATGGCTGGGGAGGCCTCAGGAAACTTACAATCATGGTGGAAAGGGAAGCAGGCACGTCTTACATGGTGGCAGGCAAGAGAGAAGTCCAGTTGCAAGCACAGGAAAAATCGCCACCTTAAAAAACCTCAGATCTCAGGAGAACTCACTATCACAAGTACAGCATAGGGGAACCACCCCCATAATGCAATTGCCTCCCATCAGGTTCCTCCTTTGACACATGGGGATTACAATTCAAGATGAGATCTGGGTGGAGACACAGGGCCTGACCATATCAACCACTCATGCATTACTAGATAAAGGTGACAAGAGCAGAGGGTGCAGTGCCAGGAATGATGAGGGCCATGATCATGAGAGGGAAACACGATCACCCAAGTACACGCCTGCTTGGTGGCCTTTGCACGTGCCGTCCTCTCTATCTGGGATGCTCATTCCAGCTCTCAGCATGGCTGCCGCCTTTCCATCCTTCAGGTCTTAGCTCAAATGTCGTCTTCTCAGAGACTCTACCCAAAGAAACGGTCCTTTCTAGAAGAATCCAATTCCCTCAAAACTTGCTTTTCTGTTAGGGTTCCACTAGTGGTATTTGTGGCCAGATGAATCTTTGTTTTTGTTGTTGTTGTTGTTGTTTTTTGTTTGTTTGTTTTGAGATGGAGTCTCGCTCTATTGCCCAGGCTGAAGTGTAGTGGCACGATCTCAGCTCACTGCAGCCTCTGCCTCCTGGGTCCGAGCGATTCTCGTGCCTCAGCCTCCCAAATAGCTGGGATTACAGGCGCCTACCACCATCACACCCAGCTAATTTTTGTGTTTATAGTAGAGGTGGGGTTTCACCATGTTGGCCAGGCTGGTCTCGAACTCCTGACCTCAAGTGATCCACTCACTTTGGCCTCCCAAAGTGCTGAGATTATAGGCATGAGCCACTGCACCTGACCCAGATGAATCTTTGTTATGGGGGGACTGTCTGGTGTACTAGTGGCATCCCTGGCCTCTACCCACTAAGTGCCCGTAGAACCTCCTGGCTGTGACAAGAAAAATGTCTCCAGACATTGCCGGTGTCCCATGGGTTGTAAAATTTCCCACGAGCAACCATGAGAAATGCTGCTCTATATCACTGTCTTCGAAACACTTATCTTCCAAAATTATTTATTTTATTCAACAACAAATACTTAGTGCCTAATACAGGCCAGGCATGATTCCAGGTATGGGGGATAAAGCAGTGAAATTCAGATGAGATTGGGTGCATTCAGGGTGGTATGGCCATAGACAGCAGTGAAATTGACAGAAAAAAATTACTACCTTTGAGGAACTTATATCCTCATGGAAAGACACAGGGAAATTAAAAGAAAATGAACCAAACTGTAGTTGGTCAGATGGTACTTAAAAGTGCTGGAGGAGAATAAGGTGGAAAACGGAATAGCATGGAGGCTGTAGTTTGGAGGCAGAGAGGCTCACATTTAAATAGGTGTGTTCAAAGAGCAGCAAGGAAGCCAGAGTGGCTGGAGTGGAGCGAGTGTGGGGAACACTTCCAGGAAACGACATCAAAAAAGCACAAGAAGGAAGACAGTTTCTCCCCCACAATAACCAGTAACCTCCCTGTAAACAGGGTTCCCATTTGTCTTGTTCACTGTGGCACCCCAGGGCCTACAGAGAAGCTTGGCACATTGCATGTGCTAGATGCATGTTTAATTTCTGTCCAACAAATGAATGAACACGTGGATGGTCAGCCCTGGGAGAATGCTCAGCTCCAAATACCTTACCTGGGCAAAAGACGGAGTTACTGTCAAAAGACACAGACGTAATCCTCTTTCCCCATTTACGTACTTCGAGTATTAAAGGAAAAGGAAGGCTGGGCGCGGTGGCTCATGCCTGTAATCTCAGCAGTTTGGGAGGCCGAGGGGGGTGAATCACCTGAGGTCAGGAGTTCGAGACCAGCCCGGCCAACATGGTGAAACCCCATCTCTACCAAAAATACAAAAAATTAGCCAGGTGTGGTGATGCATGCCTGTAGTCCCAGGTACTTGGGAGGCTGAGGTAGGAAAGTTGCTTGAACCCAGGAGGTGGAGGTTGCAGTGAGCAGAGATCACGCCACTGCACTCCAGCCTTGGGCGACAGAGTGAGCCTCTGTTTCAAAAAATAAAAAATAAAATAAAATCAATCAATCAATCAATCAATCAATCAATCAATAAAGGAGTGGGAAAATACTAATATCTAACATTTATTGACCCAGACACTGTCCCATGCACTTTGAAAACATTAACTCCTTTTCTCCTGAAGGCATCTGTGTGAAATATGAATTCTTTTTATCCTGAAATGAAAAAGTTGTTCATTCCCCAGAATAAGGGAGCTAGTAACAGGTGGAGGTGGGACTTGGACCAAAGACTGTTCAACTCCAGAATACAAGCAATACAGTCTCTTAATAGCAAAAATAAAATATGAGCTATAGGATCCCAGGTTGACCAATAAGGCAAGAGGCCAGACATACTGCAGGCCCTCCGTCTGCCTCTTAAAAAACAAGGTAACTATGCCTACATTTACTGAGCATTTACTATGTGCTAAACCTTGTCTCATCACATTAAATGTACTCTATTATCTCATTTACTTTTCAGAACAATCCTTTCTATGGTACTTACTATAACCATCCTCAACTCACATATGAGTGAACTGGTGCTCAGAGACTAAGTGACATATAGGAATTCCTGAGGAAACCAGGGTGCCAGGACTACAGAAGGCAAGATGAGAAGGCATTGTCTGCTTTCTTTCAGTTAGATTTCTGGGGGTAAGCAGGTGGAAGAGGGAGTAGGTTTATTCTCTGTGAATCCAGGAGGCAGACCTGAGGCCAAAGAAGATTCTGGATCAGGATACAAAGTGAATAAGCTTTGGTTGGGTCACTGAATTTGGATAAAGGTTAAGTGGAGAGAAGTAGCCCATGGCAGTACTGCCAAGCAGGCTTTCAGCTGGCCGACTACTCTCTGTGAGCAAGGAGCATTATCTTACTCATTGCTGCCAACCCCAGGAAGGATTTTAAACACAGCACAGCTTTGCATCCAGCCAGCCTGTTGAACACTGGCAACACCTCCAACCTTCGACTTTCAAAGCAGGCAGTGCTCCTTCCCAGGAGTGTCCAGCACAATGAAAAATGCACCCACATAACATGTGGGTACCACAGGCCGTTCATGTTTATAATTACACATAATTGTTAAGTATCTGTGTTAGTCTGTTCTCGTGTTGCTACAGGGAAATACCCAAGACTGGGTAATTTATAAAGAAAAGTCATTTCATTGGCTCACGGTTCTGCAGGCTTTACAAGAAGTATGGTGCTGGCATCTGCTCAGCTTCTGGGGAGGCCTCAGGAAGCTTCCAATCATGGCAGAAGGCAAAGGGGGAGCAGGTACCTCACATGGCCAGAGCAGGAGCAGGAGACAGAGAACGAGCTTGGAAGTGCTACACACTTTTTTTTTTTTTTTTTGAGATGGAATCTTGCTCTGTTACCCAGGCTGGAGTACAATGGCATGATCTCCGCTCACTGCAACCTCCAACTCCTTGGTTTAAGAGATTGTACTGCCTCCACCTTCCGAGTGGTTGGGATCACAGGTGCATGCCACCACGCCTGGCTAATTTTTTGTATCTTTAGTAGAGATGGGGTTTCACCATGTTGGCCAGGCTGGTCTCGAACTCCTGACCTCATGATCCTCTGCGCCCGGCCATACACACTTTTAAACAACCAGATCTCATGAGAACTCACTCACTATCATGAGAACGGCACCAAGGTGATGGTGCTAAACCATTCATGAGAAATCCACCCCCATGATCCAATCACTTCCCACCAGGCCCCACCTAAACACTGGGGATTACAATTCAACATGAGATTTGGGCAGGGAAACAGATCCAAACCCTATCAATATTTGAGCCTGGAACTAACACTACTTACGGGATATTTTTTAAAACCATTTTTTTTTTTTTGCATGGTTTGAATAGTCACTGAACTTGGAGAACAAGTCAAGCGAAGATGGTACTTCCTGTTATCTGATACTTTACCAAGAGTTGTTCACTACTTTGGAAAAATGTACCACAAATTTGGCAAACCCCACTCATGAAATGCCGAGTGCTGGTAATGTATCAGTACCATTCAGCACTCGTAGGCGTCACAGTGAAGACAGTTCTATCCCAAATACAGGCACAGAAGCATCTGACCACTTTATTAGGTCATTTACTATAGCCAAACCTGACCATTACACGTTGAAGTAAATATTATTTTATAATAATTTTATTTTATTTACTCTTTATATTAAAGCCAGGGCACTATATTAATTTTCTTTAAAAAAATTATAATTATGGCTGGGCACGGTGGCTCACGCCTGTAATCCCAGCACTTTGGGAGGCTGAGGTGGGCGGATCACTTGAGGTCAGGAGTATGAGACCAGCCTGGCCAACACAGTGAAACCCCGTCTCTATTAAAAAAAATACATAAATTAGCTGGGCATGGTGGTGTGCGCCTGTAATCCCAGCTACTCAGGAGGCTGAGGCGCGGGAATGGCTTGAACCCCGGAGACGAAGGTTGCAGTGAGCAGAGATTGCACCACTGCCCTCCAGCCTGGGCTCTGCTGTGAGATTCTGTCTCAAAAAAAAAAAAAAAAAATTACACTTGTAGGCAATATAATATAGATGTAATCCTTGAATTTCATTCCAGGATTATAAAAGAGGCATTCAAAACATTTGTTACAAATATGGGGCAAGGACACTGGGTGAAGGAACAGAAGGCATTTTTAGTATTTTTGTGGATACCCTAATATGAAATCTAATAAAATGATGAAAAGAATGGTCCAAAGAAGATAAAACTCACTAGACCAATATAAAATCTGTACTTTAGACTCAATAAGGCTACTACAGAAGTACAGAAAGGGGAGCATTTGGCTGAAAAGTCATTCATGGAGCTTCTCAGTTGAACTCAAGTTCAATTTGAGCTAGAAGTGCAATGTGGCAGTAAAAGTACATCATCAGAGGCCTAGGTACTGGTTCTCAAACTTAAGTAACCATCGGAATCAAGTAGGGAGCATGTTTAAAAGAACAGTCACCCAGCCTCATCTCTAGACATTGAGATTCACTTTCTCTGGGGGCAGGGCCCTGAGGTTGACATTTTAAACAGGAATTTTAAGTGATTCAGAACAGTGAGCGGAAGTTTACAGGTGGAGGTGTGAACCTTCAATTGTTGGATAATGGCCACTGCATATCATTCAGGTCAGAGTGTCACTTCCAAAGAGAAAAAGTGGAGCTATCTAAAGGTGGTCAACCAATCAGGATTGGAAAAGGTGTAGAAGCCATCTCTCACAGAATTCCTACCTATGGACAGAAGGTTTTGGAAGGATGCTCGCTTCAGTTATGCAATGACACACAGCAGAGTGATTAAGCAGGTGCAATGATATGGTACCTGCAATGGACTGAATGTCATATCTCCCCCAAATTCACACATTAAAGTCCTAAACCCGTCCAGGCATAGTGGCTCACACCTGTAATCCTAGCACTTTGGGAAGCAGAGGTGGGAGGATTGCTTGAGCTCAGGATTCGAGACCAGCCTGAGCAACAAAGTGAGACCCTGTCTATATAAAAAATAAGAAAATGAGCCTAGGGTGGGGGTGCACAGCTGTAGTCCAAGCTACTCTGGAGGCTGAGGTGAGAGGATCGCTTGAGCCTGCAAGGTCTGCTTGAGCCTAGGAGGTCGAGGCTGCAGCGAGCTGTGTCTGCGCCACTGTACTCCAGCCTGACTGACAGAGCAAGACCCTATCTCAAAAAATAAAATAAAATACTTTAAAATCCTAATTCCTAATGAGACAGTATTAGAAGGTGGGGCCTTTGGGAAGTAATTAGGGTCATGAAGGTAGGGACTTCATTAATGTGATTAATGACCTTGTAAGAAGAGACACAAGGCTGGGCGCGGCAGCTCACGCCTGTAATCCCAGCACTTTGGGAGGTGGAAACGGGTGGATCATGAGGTTAGGAGTTCAAGACCAGCCTGATCAACGTGGTGAAACCTCACCTCCACTAAAAATACAAAAATTAGCCAGGTGTGGTGGCGTGTGCCTGTAATCCCAGCTACTCAGGAGGCTGAGGCAGGAGAATCGCTTGAACCCGGGAGGTGGAGGTTGCAGTGAGCCGAGATATTGCCATTGCACTTCAGCCTGGGTGACAGAGCAAGACTCTGTCTCAAAAAAACAAAAACAAAAAAAGAGGATATACAGACAGAATATTTTCTTTCCCTGCTCTCTGCCATGTCAGGATACAATGAGAAGGTGTCCATGTGCAAACAAGAAAGTAAGTCCTCACCACACACTAGAATGGCTGGGTACCTTGATCTTAGACTTCCCAGGCTCCAGAACTGTGAGAAATGTTTGTAGTTAAGCCACCCAGTCTATGGGACATCTGTTATAGCACCTAAGACAGTGTCTACATCCTTGCAGCAGAAAGATGAATGAGAACCTACAGTACAAAAGAAAGTAGGGAGTAGACATTTCTATTGAGCACGATGTCAGAAGAACTGTTCTTAGAATAGCACACATCTTTCAGTGGGATTATTCTACAGACTCCATCTACAGGCAGTTTGTCCCTAATTTATTTCCGTAGCTCTAGGATCAAGTAAAACTGGGAAATGCTTCTGGGTGTAATAGCTTTCTTTACTTCCAGACTTTATAAGATCTCTAACATGCACATATGAATCTCCAAAGGGCAGACACAGTATGCAGGCACGATCTCGGCTCACTGCAACCTCCGCCTTCTAGGTTCAAGCGATTCTCTTGCCTCAGCCTCCTGAGTAGCTGGGACTACAGGCACGTGCCACCATGACCGGCTAATTTATTTATTTATTTTGTATTTTTAGTAGAGACAGGGTTTCACCATGTTAGCCAGGATGGTCTCGATTTCCTGACCTTGTGATCCACCCGCTTCGGCCTCCTAAAGTGCTGGGATTACAGGTGTGAGCCACCGCACCTGGCCTCTGTTCACAATTTCTAAACACATATTCACATCCCTTGCAGTGACCTCTGGAATTAGTCTAGAAAACGCTAGTCTAGGGGTTATTACTGCAGGGCTGATGATCAATTCTGGATCTCAATCATGGAAGAGGCTCAAGTCATATTAACTTTATTTGCAGATATGCAAACGCTTCTCTATTAGACGATAAACTTTTTGAAGGAAGGTTCTTGGTATCACCCATTTAAAAAACAAAACAAAACAGTTTTCTACCCTACCCTTGCCAGTATTATAGGTATTCAGTAGCATGTAATGAATGAATAAATTGTATTTAAATATAGCTTCTCTGGATGCAATTATTACAGACAGAAATCACCCAATCACAGTATTCTTTCAGAACACGAAGAGATCTTAGTTCCTGACATCAGAGACAATTAAGATGCAGAGAAATGAAGGGACTTAGCCAGGGTCCCAGAATGCTGGATGTCAGAGGCAGAGGTAAGTTGAGCCTAGATTGCATATTTCTATTTATCCCACTAAAGCTATTTAACAGTTCTTTGGCAAACTATCAAATGTTTTCTCCTTTTGAATCTCTGCCACAGAATTTTCCATGGTATCTGACTGTACTGCCCATTGCCTTCCACGGTTTGCTCTAACCTCAGAGGTGAGCCAGTCCTTGAGCATTCCAATTTTGTTGTCCTGCAGAGAAGGATTCCGAGAGAAATTCTTCCTCCCTCCCTAAACAGCCAGGTCTCCATCTGCCTGTCTCTGCCCTAATTTGGGGGCTGAATGAAACACGATACATTTTATTTTTAAATTGTTTTAAAAAGCACATTCTCTGGCTAGTGTTACACCCTTCAACTTGGGGAGGACGCACCTTGTGCTTGAGTCGCCTTTGGGGTCCCATGCAAATAAACCTATCTGCAAACATGCCATCTTCTTTCTACCGACCTGCCTTCCCTCACCTCATTCTCCAATCCCCTGCTATGTTTAGCCCTCCTTCCCCTTTTCTTTGCTGTTGTTTGTTTTTAAGATATTCATCCGTCAGCTTAGGAACTGAAGAGAGCTGAATCTTAATGAGCCTGTCAAAATCCTAGGTGTATTTTTGTTGTTGTTTTCTAAGTCCTGCTCACAGCTGAATGCTGGGTGAATGACAGCTTCTTGCATCTAGGAGATGATGCCTGGGCAGAGCGGTTGGAAACTGACCCGTTTCTGTGCAAGACTGTGAAAGACGCCTGTAATTTCACCCGAACAGTTATGGGCAAGAGCTTCATGCTAGGATCTGCCTGGTTATCCATCCGAAGCTGCGGTGGCTCAGTAGCTTCTGGAATTAAGTTGGGAACAGCTCTAGTAAAAAGGGAAGGAGATGAATGGGAGATGGTGGAAAGATCTTCTCTAATGTTTTGTGGCCATGTAGGCTTTGGAAAAGCAGACTGGGAAAGAAAAGCAAACAAAGAGAACGGGGGAAACTGACTGACTCTTGTAGGGGGAAAAGTCTAGTTTATAAGATAATTCAAGGAATTAACAAAGCCCATGCACGCTATGGTGCCTGGTATGATGCCTGGTGGGATGAGTCAATGAATGAATGTGTAGTGAAGAGGCTGTGTTTGATGTCTGCGGTTGAATCTGAATTAGCTGAAAAGAGTTATTCAGTTGGGCTATGGTTAGGGGGATAAATAAAAATCACAACCAACTTGCTAAAGTACTTTGGTTTACCCCAGGCACACGTGGCTGCGCCACCACAACAGAGCCTCCGAGTGGGTTCTGAGGTCCCCAGTTCATAAATGAGAAGCCCAAGGCTCCCTGAGCTTGGGTAAGCTTTCCAAAAGGCACAGAACTCAAAAGCAACAACGCCAGGTCTTGAAGGCAGAGCTTCCAACACAAACATCTCATATGCTTTTCTGGGGATTTTCAAAGTAAAACACAGCGAGGAAGCTGATATGCGAACTAAATAGTCATTTTTTTTCCTAATGTGATATAAAAAGCTAACCTTTTCAGATAGTAAAGAGATACAGGAAAAACTGCTAGGTAGCTGGATTACACCTGGGGAAAGTAAAATACTTACTCGTTCTTTCTGACCAAAGGGCTTGGGAGACCTTAGCAAACCCCAGTCAATCACATAACCTCCTTTTTCCAGTCGGTAAATCTCATTCCCTGATAGAGCAAGTGGCAGAAAAATGCAAGAGGAGAAAGACCAAGATTTACTAAGTACTTACTTTGTGCCCTGGATCAGGCTAGGCTCATTAAACAAGTTACAACATTAATTGCTAATCCTCACATACTAGGTTTGTTATGTCTTTTTTTTTTTTTTTTGAGACAGAGTCTCAGTCTGTCGCCCAGCTGGAGTGCAGTGGCATGATCTCGGCTCACTGCAACCTCCACCTCCTGGGTTAAGCAATTCTCTGCCTCAGCCTCCCGAGTAGCTGGGATTACAGGCACACACCACCATGCCCAGCTAATTTTTTGTATTTTTAGTAGAGATGGGGTTTCACCATCTTGGCCAGGCTGGTCTTCAACTCCTGACCTCGTGATCCACCCACCTCGGCCTCCCAAAGTGCTGAGATTACAGGCGTGAGCCACCGTGCCTGGCCTTGTCCTATCTTAAAAAAGAGAGAGAACTGCTGGGCACGGTGGCTCATGCCTGTAATCCCAGCACTTTGGGAGGCTGAGGCGGGTGGATCATGAGGTCAGGAGATCGAGACCATTCTGGCTAACGTGGTGAAACCCCGTCACTACTAAAAAAAAAAAAAAAAAAAAAATTAGCCGGGCGTGGTGGTGGGCGCCTGTAGTCCCAGCTATTCGGGAGGCTGAGGCAGGAGAATGGCGTGAACCCGGGAGGCAGAGCTTGCAGTGAGCCGAGATTGCGCCACTGCACTCCAGCCTGGGCGAAAGAGCGAGACTCTGTCTCAAAAAAAAAGAAACAAAAAAAAAAAAAAAAAAGGAGAGAACTGAGGTTCAAGGAGTGAAGTGACTTGGCCAAGTTGCATAAGAAGACTAAATGACTGTACTGCAGCTCTAACCCAGATCTGCCTGAGTTCCTAACATCAAGCTGAAGGCATAAGACAGGAGGTTCTGCTGGAGATATTCTTTTTGGAGGCTTCAGATGTGCTGGGATTTAGGGTGGCAGGTTCTCTCCAGGGTCGTCCTCAGTTTCCATGAGAATCTACATGTCTGGATGACTCATTCACTGGGTGGCACAATCCTTGGTTTTAAAGCGACACATCCCCTTCGTGAAAGCCATTTTTTTGCATTTTGATGTTGCCTAAGTCCTTTCATAATAATCACTCAGTGTCACTGGCTTATTTAAATGGACACATCACTTCAACAGGGCTTTCCCTCTTCTGCTCTGCCCTTTCAGTACCAGCGAGGAGGGAAGTAACTCACTGCTTTGACAAATCAAGCGGGAACTGGAGGTGGTTTACGTGCTCCTGTGTCTCCTGATGCTACATTCTATAGCAAATAGGGAAGGGCAGGAAGAGACATGCCATTTTGGTTGTAATAAATTCCCTAGTGTGCTACATTCTTCTTCTCTCTGCAAACCCGGATTGATGACCAGCGGCTTTTGTTTTACGCAGGAAACCGTGATCTTGATGCAGCATCCCTGAGGCACTGCAGTATATTTCTATGTGACATTTTCTATTATATATTTTGGAAGACAGAAACGAAATGTATACACCAGGGTTTTCCTGAGACTTCCTTTCTCCACCCAGAAACATAGGTGTCTCCACCTCCATGAAAGCTTGGAGGGAACGTGTCTGAAAATCCAGGCACAAAAGATCAACACGGGGTGACTAGTCGTTTGCCAGAGGAAAGCACGTGGAACCCCCGTCCCTGGCCCGCTGTGGGTTCATGGAGGGTCCAGTCTCCAATGCACTGAGAAAACAGCGTCTGGGAGAGCTTGCTGGGACAGGAAACAGAGTGCCATGTTTAATCAGAGCAGGCCCTTGGACATTCTGCCCCAGAAACATCCTAGAGGCTTCCTATAGGACAGAATCCCAGTCTCCTGCACAGACCTAGTCAATCAGACTCTTGAAGGGCAGAGCCCAGAATTCTCCATTGTTGAAAAGTGTTTAATCCTGAAGCCATTAAAGTTCAAGCAAGGCAGGTTGGTAGTTAACACCACAGGCTCCTTGACTTTTCAGGGTTGCAGCCTTCGATGCTCCAATCTTCAGTTTCCTCTGGTATAGACTAGTTTCTTCTGGTATAGGCATGGCACCTGCCTCATAGGATGAGTGTGAGGATCAAAGGAGACTGACAACCATAAAGCACCTAACATGGTGCCTGGCTAATACTCAGCTGATACGTAGAGGCCCTGCCTTACCCATTATTGAAAAGAGTGAAATACCTCCTGACCTGCTAAGAGAACCACTGCTCTGATGCCCTCAGCTGCCTTTCCCCAACCTGGCCCCTCTCAGGAACTCCTCAGACTTCCCCATCATCCAGCAACTAAAGTATTAATGCCCAACACAGCATGGGAGACTCCAGGGTGGGAATCTGGAGTCTGTGAAGGGCTGGTGGTTGACATTCTTCAATCACAACCTCTGTTTGCCTGGTAGGCATTACAGGAAAAAAAAAATTACATAGAGCAAGGCATATCTAATACTCAGGCAAATGTTAGCTAAGGAATGTCCCCGTCTCTTAGGATGGCCGTCAATACAGGGCTCCCTGGCTGCCTGCCACCTCTGGACATTGATGCTGGACTTTCTTTCCTTGTCCTCCTCTAGCTTTGACCCCCACTCTGACCCCATCTGTGAACTCTTACCTCTGGAAGCTTGACTCATGTCCCTTCTCCTTTGTTCTCTGGGACCCTGTGTTTGCATTTGACTTTTCTGGAGTCTGACCATCAGCTCTCAGAATTTGGGACTCTTTTTGGCTGATCCCACTACAGACTGGCCTCAGCCTCCAGGGCAGGCTTCACTTATCACTTTTAGGTGGTACTGTCCCCAGAGCCAGACACCTGTCCCAACCCACTTCATTTGCTGGTCTCAGATGCCAAGTTCCAGCCCTTCTTGGTCTCACCCATCCTACTGTTCCCTGAGTTCCACATTCTAGTCTGACAAAGATCAGGAGTCTGCATCCTTTGAGAATGGGATACCACAGCAGTGGCAATGAGGATGGAGGAGGGAGGCAGAAGGATCCAGAAGCATGTCAAAGATAGACACTGATGGGAATTGAGCCTCAGGAGGAAGAGGCTGCCCTAGTTTCATTGCTTATACACCCCATGAGGTCATGGACTGTGTCTGCTGCAGCTAGCATAGGGCCTCGTACACAGTAAGCATTCAAGGGACAGCTGGTGAACAAGAAGGGTTGATGGATGAATGAAGGACACCAATAACAGAGAAAGAAACTGAAGAGGAGATGCAAGTTTGGGGCTAGTAACGAGGTAGAATAATGGATTTTATTTTAGACACATGGTTATAGGTCTGTGGTCCTCAAAAGTGCTGATTACCAAATATTTCTGCATTTTCTCCTGCCAGGCACATGTGGTCCTCAAAAGTGCTGATTAGCAAATATATCTGCTTTTTCTCCTGCCAGGCACATGGTAGACTGCACTTGCCCACACGCTTTAAAGGGAGGCATGGCCACACAACATGCTTAGTCAATGAAATATGAAATTACGTCACTTCTAAACAAAAACTTTAAGAGATAATACAACTTCTGCTACTTTCCCACCACATACATGGAAGTATGCATGGAGATGAATCCTGAGTACCCACAGTGAACACAGATCCCTGAAGACCTCAAGTGGACGTGGAATGTGATTGGCAAAAGTACATATCCGTTGTGTTAAGAAACTGAAATGGGGTTGTTACTGAAGAATGATATCTGGTCTGTATTAACAGAGCCAGGGAACCTATGGGTCATACTGATAAAGATATCCAATAGGATCTGGATTAGAGGTCAGGAGAGGGGCTTTCTGGTGAGATGCCACAGACTGCCACAGCCCAACGGTTACTCTACCTGTGGGTATAGCACCAAGAAGGAACTGGAATGCAAACTGCCCACAAACCATCCACCACTGAATTCAAGCAATCAGGTGGCCTCCTCCTGAGCTTTTGCAATCTCCTCTCCTGCGGAAGGAGCACTGGGTCCTCATATCACCTTCTGCAACTCTTCCCATACCACCCTGAGGATTTACCTGTGTTGTAGCCTCTTCCAAGGGCTGGCCATGGGCGGTGATTTTTCCACAGGTTTCCAAGGTACCAGTCACTCTGGTTCTCCACCAAGCCCAGGACTTGCTGACCTGTGAGGTACAGAGAATACAAACATCTTAAAAGGAGAAGCCAAGCCATCTGGATCAGTGACTATTGAAGACACAGGGTAATGGCAAATCATCACAACAACAGTATTCACTTACTGAGAGGTTTTATGAAGTGCCAGCCTCTGACCTAACAGCTTAACTTGCATTAACATATTTAATTCTCACCATTAGGCAGTCATTTTTATTATTTCCATTTTATAGAGAAGAAATAGAGGCCCAGAACAGTTAACTGATTTGCTGCAGGTCACCTAGTGAATCTGATAAAGCTAGAATCCCAAATCATTCATTCATTCATTCATTCATTCATTCATTCATGCATGCATGCATGCATTTCTTTCCTAACTCATGGAGCACATATTTATTGACAGGCATACTATTTCTCAAGCATTCCCATTCTGGTATTTCCCACTGTACATTAATTTACTCGTTTTCTGGGAATGGACTGGGATTGGTTTCTCACGACAGGGAGGAGGGATTACCCTTGTTTGCTGAGACGAGAGCCCAAAGAGAAGAGCCACTCTTTGTCCACCTTCTTACAGGGTTTTTGTTCTCACCCTCACTGCTTCCTTTCAAATATATTTATCTTGTGTCAACAAGCATCATGTCAATATCATATCAATACAAGAGTGTTGTCTAGATAACAACTGCTCCTCTGTCCCCAGAGCTGGCGTTGATGTTGGCCTCAGTCTCTGCTGCATCTTAGCAACTTAGGCAAGTTAGCCTTGTGGTCAATCTCTTAGGGCGTACATGTCTCTGGGCCTTCACATCTGATCCACCTGGCTCCTTTAGACAACTCCATCATGCAGAAGGCCTTCTCTTGCAATTATTACCAATACCATTTCACAGCCTAGGAAACAGGCTCACAAAGGACCAGTGACTTGGACAGCTAAAGATGGAGCTAGGATAGACATCTACATTTGTTTGAAACAAAGATTCCTCCCACTGTCTTGATGCACTATTGCTTATCCTTACAAAAACAAATATTTTAGGCAGGAATTATCAATCCACGTTTTGTAGAAAGGGAAATTGAGGGCTGGGTGCGGTGGCTCACACCTGTAATCCCAGCACTTTGGGAGGCCGGGATGGGCGGATCATGAGGTCAGGAGATGGAGACCATCCTGGCTAACACAGTGAAACCCCATCTCTACTAAAAATACAAAAAATTAGCCAGGCGTGGTGGCGGGCACCTGTAGTCCCAGCTACTTGGGAGGCTGAGGCAGGAGAATGGCATGAATCCGGAAGGCGGAGCTTGCAGTGAGCCGAGATCGCACCACTGCACTCCAGTCTGGGTGAGAGAGCAAGACTCCGTCTCAAAAAACAAAACAAAAAAAAAAAAAAAAAAAAAAAGAAAGGGAAATTGAGGTTTAGAGAGTTTAAATAACTTGGAAAAGTCACACACCTAACAATGACTCTCTTCTACAGCTAACCAATACCTTTTGAATTTACACTCTTGTACTGTTGGCCAATTTGAGAAATAAAGACCTTTCTGACCAAATGGAAGCCCATCCGCACTTAAGAAAACACAGTGGTTCTTTTGGAACACTATGCTGGGTGATATAGCATCTCCTTGGTATGATGACAGCTCCCTGAAATGATGGTGTGTGGGTTTGGGGTAATATATTCGATCAATTTTATTAAGCTCCTATCTAAATCATCACCCCGGGCACAAATACATAAATCAGAGGCATGGGAAAAACACTACCACCCACTTTGTCATTGTATATGATGACATCTAAAACTTGTAGAATTCCTCAGAAAAACATAACACCAATTCAGGGAGTATAAGAGTCAATCAATCCCATGTGCAACAAGCTTAGGACATTTGTGCAGAACAATTAGATCTGAAAGGCAGGGTGCCCTTAGTTGGGAAAGCTGTGTGTCCTGTCCTGATGCTATGACCCAGCTAGAGACCTCATTTAATAACCTCACAATGAGGATGGGAAGTGTCATTGTTGGGGGAGAGGGGTGATACCTAATTATTAAGATAATTACTAAGGCCCCAGGTGGGTATCCCAAGGGTCTTTTGTTTTGTTTTTGAGACGTAGTCTCGCTCTGTTGCCAGGCTGGAGTGCAGTGGCGCAATCTGGGCTCACTGCAACCTCCGCCTCCCGGGTTCAAGTAACTCCCCTGCCTCAGCCTCCCGAGTAGCTGGGACTACAGGCACACACCACCACACCCAGTTAATTTTGTGTATTTTAGTAGAGACGGGGTTTCACCGTGTTGGCCAGGATGGTCTCGATCTCCTGACCTTGTGATCCGCCTGCCTCGGCCTCCCAAAGTGCTGGGATTACAAGCGTGAGCCACTGCGCCCAGCCTGGGAAGGATCTTTTATTGAATTTAGGGGGTCCATCTAAATTTCAGGTAAGGTCATCTTCAGATATCTGAAAGGCCAAATTTTATATGGTGGCATCCCATACATTTTATTTTGCCTGTTTACTTCTTCAGACAAATACTCTACGAGCTACACTTTATTCCTGCCAAACAAAAATATTTTGTTGCCTGTGGTCTAATTTCTACCTTGCTCATATAGCTCTCCCTTGGCAGGCATTGCCCTTGCCCCCCCTGCCAATCCCCACCCACAATCCTTTCAAGGTCCATCTCCAGCATGAAGCCTTTTATGAATAAGCCCAAGTCTGAACTATTACTTTATCTTCATTCCCATATTAGATGGAAGACATCACTATTTAGTACTTCCTACTGTTTTTTGTTTGTTTGTTTGCTTTGTTTTGTTTTTTGAGATGGAGTCTTGCTCTGTCGCCCAGGCTGGAGTGCAAATGGCGCCATCTCGGCTCACTGCAACCTTCGCCTCCCGAGTTAAAGCGATTCTCCTGCCTCAGCCTCCTGAGTAGCTGGGATTACAGACACCTGCCACCATGTCTGGCTAATTTTTGTATTTTTAGCAGAGACAGGGTTTCGCCATGTTGACCAGGCTGATCTCGAACTCCTAACCTCAGGCGATCCTCCCACCGCAGCCTCCCAAAGTGCTAGGATTACAGGCGTGAGCCACCATGCCTGGCTCCTACGGGTATTTTGCCAGCAGCTGACTTACACTCCATAAAAGATGAAGTTGGCAATATTCAGGCACCCACAGACCTCATTTATAAATAACCACTTCCTGCATTATTCCAAGGGCAAGATACTACAAGGTGTAGTACTGAACACACAGTAGGTGCTTAATAAATGTCTGCTAAATAAATGACATCTAGTGGGTTAACCTTCCTGATCGGGTGTGTGTTAGTGTCCTCATAAATCATTTCACCCTCTCTGTAGTCACCAATATTAACAGACCTTCCACCCAGCTCTGGGAACTCAGGCACCCGCTCCCCTGTATGGAAAACTGCAAAGATGGGGAGGCAGCACCCACTTGGGGTGCTCTACATAAGGCTTAAACTCAAGGTCTTCATCTCCAGAGAAGGAATGATTTTCATGGTTAACCTAAAGTCACGTTATCCCAAAGAATAATATCCAAATTGCTCTTCATTCAGTTTGTACCTGGGCTGCATTGCTTTTGATAGTACCACTTAACCCTCTCAGGCACGCCAATCCTCTTAAAAAATTCCTTAATTAGCAACATGATAGTTAGAACTTTAATATCCATTGGTGAGAAAAAAACAGAATAATCAGCAGCTACTGAGACTTCATTTTGCTTTTTAAAAGAAATTCATTAGCTGCCATATCAATGATCAAAACAGTAGTAAGGGTAAGCGATGTTGCTTAGCCTCTCAACGGTGTTGAGTTTTGCTTTCAGGCTGTGCCTTCCCAGCTTCTGTGTGAAGAGGGAACCATGAACATCAATATAGTTGGAGATAAAGAGTGTGGACTGAACTCAGGCTGCCTGGTTCCGGTTCCTAGCCCTGCCACCTTCTAGCTGCGTAGCCGTGAAAAAAATTGCTTAACCTATCTCTGCCTTGGTATCTAACTCTTACAGCTGCTGTGACTTCACATGCTGGAATGACTTCATACATGTTAAGTTCTTAGAACAGAAGCTGGAACTCTAAGCACTGTACATATGATAGTCACTGCCTATCCTAACCCGAAAGCCCCTGATAGACAGCAAGCTTATCCATGAGGTTTTCTTTGGAGGTCATCCAGCACAACCATTAGGCCATTCTCGAACTCTGCCTCTCTAAGTGTGGTCTGAGGACTATCTGTTTCAGAAACCCCTGAGATTCTTGCTAAAAGCACAGGCTCCTGGGCTTCATTCAACCTAGAAGTTAGTTATTAGTGGGAGGATGCTTTCCCCTACTTCTCCGGTTTCTAGAAGGAGGGATTTCTTGACACCTTGAGCCGATCTTTTCTCTTCCCCATGGGTGTGAAAGGAGTTAACTGACTGGTGACAGTTATCTGACTGGTGACAGATAACTCCTTCCACATCCATGGGGAAGAGAAAGGTGAGTTTCAGAGGCAACCAAGTTGATGTGGCCTAGCCTCTTCCTCTGTCCCTTCTTCCAGGAGCCAGCATGCCAACAGATAGCCTGCATCGAATCTGTTCTTTCACGCTGTTAAATTTTATAGAGCAGACCTCCTCTGTGAGGCTGTGGTTGTCTAGTACTTCTTGGGATAGCTGAGCAATTCCAACTCTGGGTTTTGGTGCTAGGAAGAGCCATTGTAGATACTGAAGGACTCTAAAGTTGAGTCCTCCAATTTCACCTTTATCAGTAAAATAAGGTGACATCTGGCTCTCCCTCCTTTATCTCTAAGTTGGTTCAATATTGGCAGGGGCGGGGGTGGTGCATATGGGGAAATAATATATTAATTCCCTCACTCCACAATATTTCTGCATAAGAATTCTGGCCACGGGGTCTAGTAATTTGCATTGAAATAAACCAACTCCCCAGGTAATTCAGATGCACATTAAAGTTTGAGAATTACTGATTGGAGTTTGGAAGCTCCGTTACTGCTTTAGTCAAGGGTAAATTTCACCTGCAGGGTGACTGGCACATAATAAACTCACATGGTGTCTACATTCACCTCATAAACCAGTAGAATTCATTGGTAGTCTCCAATGCCATACTTCCTGAGTACAGTAAAGTGGTGAAGAAAATGAACACCAGAGCCAGACGCCTGGGCTCAAATCCTGGCTCTTCCACTTACTAGCTATGTGACCCTGGACAAGGTACTTAGCCTCTCTGTGCTTGCTTCTTCATTCACTTGTAAAATAGAGATAGTAAGTAACATACCTAATTTTTTTTTTCCTCTAAGCACAAGTTAATTTGTGAAAATGATGCTGTGTTTTGTGCTTATTCAAACATTACCACTAAAAGCGTCGATGAAATAGTAAAGCGTTCAGTAAGCATTTGCTCTTATGGAAGCACCCAGAACTCCCTGGTCCTACACTCTGCTCCATCTGCCTGGACCTCCAGCTCAGCCATCTCCTCCTGTCCTTAGCTGACATGGCCCTTAGTTTGCTGAGACGTTGGTTCAGCTTAGTATCGATTGAGGGTTTGAGTTGTGTCAGACACCACACAAAATACTAAGGAATGAAAGACAAAAAAAACATAGTTCTTGCCCTGGGGGCAGCTAGAAGAGGAGACAGATAAACAATTTTGAAGCAGCATGATATTAGCAGTGACAGGGCGATATTAGCAAGATGGGGGAATAATAAGTAGGGAGTAATTGATTCTGTGGGGGTAAGTGGGTGATACCTGCTAGACAAGTTGGATGTCTCCCTTCCCACCGAGTCACCTACCACATCCCTTCCAGCACTGCAGCCAGGCCTCCCCAAAAGCTTTTCCAATAAGGGTTCTGTCGGGTAACACCCTTCTAGGAGAGAAGTCCCCTCTGCTACCAGGTGACAGCATGGATGATACAGGTGATCTGTGACAGTTCCAGCAATCCCAGCCCATCATCCAGGTGGCATCTAAATCCTGGTCTCCAGAGGCCCAAGTCTACAGCTGTAACCTTGATGGTGCAAACACATCTTCAGCTTGCCATCGTGTGAAGAGGTAAAATCCCAGGGGATTCCTTGGGGGAGATGACACAGGTGGCTACAGGGTGCTGGCTTGCTCAGCATTCTGCACTGCCTGTCTCGTCTTCTTGGGAGTTATTGTAATAAAACACTGTGACTCACAGAAAACGCTTTGTCATTGTTTTCCAAGCTGGGCCTGTGGTTATGATTAAGTGCGCTGTTCTCCATCTTCCTTAGTCTAGGCACAAGTTAACTTATGAAAATGAAGCTGTCTTCTTTGCTTATTCATACATCACTACTAACAGTCAGACAAGAGCGAACAAGCTTGCTTTTCTGCTGGGGCCCTGGTGTTGGTGTCACCAGCCAGCAGATGGATGGCTCTACGCAGGGAACTCTCCTCTCTTCTTCCTTCTGCAGGTTTTGGCTCAAGGCCCGGCTCCTGCTGCTCGGGAGGTGAGAACCAAGGAGCAGAGAACTACAATTCTTCCACACAGTGCATCTGGCATGAAAAGGCTGAGCTGAGCATTCGTCCATTGGGTATAAAGAAGGCAGCATGATAAATCAGGAAGACAAAGGATTTTAAAACTTGGCAAAACAGGATTCTAGCCCCACCTGTGTATGATTTGACCAAGGTATAGCTTCTCTGAGCCTTGAGTTTCCTTATCATAAAAGGTTAAGTATAAAATCTATCTCTGACCTCTAAGAATGGATATTGAGATCAGATTAAGATGATACAAGGCCGGGCGCGGTGGCTCACACCTGTAATCCCAGCACTTTGGGAGGCCAAGGTGGGTGGATCACTTGAAGTCAGGAGTTCAAGACCAGCCTGGCCAACATAGTGAAACCCCCGCCTCTACTAAAAATACAAAAAAATTAGCTGGGTGTGGTGGCATGCACCTGTAATCCCAGCTACTTGGGAGGCTAAGGCATGAGAATCGCTTGAACTTGGGAGGCGGAGGCTGCAGTGAACCGAGACTGCGCCACTGCACTCCAGTCTAGGTGACAGAGTGAGACTCCATCTCAAAAAAAAAAAAAAAAGGATGACAGATGTAAAGTGCTGGCTCATGGGAGATGCTCAACTAAAGGCACTTCTCTTCCTCCCTTTTGGGATGACCAGTGTTCATAATGTCTAGGTTTTCCTACCCAAGTGCTGACATTTAGGTGCATAGACTGGACTCTGCAAAATTTGGCTACATTACCCCTCACCCCATCCCTGCTGTCTCTCACCCCACTCCACCTTTCTGAAGCCTTTAGCGTCGGCGACATCTGTCCCTTCGCTGATGTACTCCCTCTGAACATCCTTCCCCTACCTCCTCCATGGAGCTTCCCTCTCTCTGCCACCCTTAACATGCTGGTGCTCCCCAACTCCCCTTCTTGGCCCCCTTTTGTTACTCTCTATTTTATCCACAGATGATGGGATCTACTCCGGTGGCTTCAGACACTATTGACTGGAAGATGATCACCAATCTCCATGTTAACTCAGACTTCTTTCCAAAGTGCCCTACTCTTCAATCTATGTATCAGCCCACCATCTTCTTAGGTGATTTGGCTGTTCCACAATGACTTTCAACGCAAGCTGACCAAAACTAACTCCACAATCTTCTCCTCCTACAAAATAGGTGTGACCCCTACCTGTTTTCTTGGTTGGTAGCATGAAGATCAAACTTGTCACCACAGCTAGAAGCCTTTTACTCAATCTTGAACCCTCCTGCTCCTCATTCCTCACATCCTTGCCATGCCCAAATCCCACAGATTTTATCTATGGAGTGTTTCTCAAATTCATCCCTTCCCTTGCTCTACCATGCTCTCCTCCTCTCTCTCTCTCCTGGATTAGCAGATTTGTACCTGATCACTTTTTCCTCAGGGTAGCCCTGTGCCATTCCATTCTGCCTACCTAGCCACAGAAATGTTTTGAAAGCACAAATTTGATGATTCTGCTTCCTTGATTAAAAAGCTTAAGTGCTCTAGGGGCCCATTATACTGCAGGTGTGTGGATGAATGGATGAATGAATGGGTGAATAAATAAAAAATATACATTATCCACAACCCACCATCTTAGCCCATCTGGAATTGGTAAATTCTATCTGAATGGAGTGGAAGTAGATGCGTACTAGTTAACTTCTCCAGGTAAACACCAGGAACAGGTGGCTCTAGCTGTGATCTGCAGGATGCTTTCAGTGCTATCTCCTTTTTTCCACCCCCAGAAAAGCTCCTGGGCACACAGAGGAAGTCTGCCAATCACTGCTGCTGATCAAACCGGCTGTGCTTATACCACTAGGTGAATATTAAAATGTTAAAACCAGAGGCTGCCCTGACTGTCAGCAGAGAACCTAATAGTGCTCTCCCAACCTCATATTTATTCTAATAAGCTATTTTAAAATAGAAAAGCATTTAATAGCACCATTCAATGTGTGTCTGAGTGCAGGATGTCTGTAAGTAGGAAAACATATAATATCATATTACCGTTTACTAAACCTCCTGAAAGAGCTGCTACACAGCCCCAGGTGTTCCTGGCTAGTCAATGTAGAATAAGAAAACATTTCCTGAGAAGATGCACACAGAACGATATTTAAACAACCCCGAATAGACTGAAAAGGAGAATTTCTGAACCTGTGTGTTTCACAGCTCCTACTTTGCAGTTCAGCTCCAGCTCAAAGCACCCTAGGATCACAGACAGTCAGATGAACTGTGATGGTCTTAATGACTTCTCTGGAACCATCTACTACTGCACATGAAGACTGCCAAGGGCGAGCGGTGTTTATAGAAACACGCAGTCAATGGAAGAGCCAGGAGCCAAAACCAAAACTCTGGCTTGAAGTTCCTTTTTTTGTTTTTTTTTCCTATGTGTCTCAAACTCAGCTGCTGCTATTTTGTTTGAACTTTTTTTTTTTTTTTTTTTTGAGAGGGAGTTTTGCTCTTGTCTCTGAGGCTGGAGTGCAATGGTACAATCTTGGCTCACTGCAACCTCCACTTCCCAGTTCAAGCGATTCTCCTGTCTCAGCCTCCCGAGTAGCTGGGATTACAGGTGCTTGCCGCCATGCCCAGCTAATTTTTGTATTTTTAGTAGAGACGAGATTTCATCATGTTGGCCAGGCTAGTCTCGAACTCCTGACCTCAGGTGATCCGCCCACCTCGGCCTCCCAAAGTGCTGGGATTACAGACATGAGCCACCACAGCCAGCCTCTTTGAACTTTAATATAATTCTCCACCTGGTTTAAGTTCTAGCTCTTCTATATTTAATAGGTAATCTCTCTCTTTCTCTCTCTCTCTGTTTAATAAAGAGACAGGGTCTCACTATGTCACCCAGACTGGAATGCAGTGGCACAATCATGGCTCAGCGCAGCCTTGAACTCCTGGGCTCAAGCTATCCTCCTGCCCCAGCCTCCTGAGCAGCTACGGGACTACAGGTGTATGCCACCACATCCAGCTAACTTTAAATTTTTTTTTGTAGACATGGGGGTCTCGCTATGTCGCCCAGGCTGGTCTTGAACTCTTGGCCTCAGATGATCCTCCCACCTCAGCTTCCCATAGTGCTGGCATGCACCACCACACCCAGCTCATAGGTAATATCGAGTAAACTCTCAGTTCTTCATTTTTCTCATGTGTAAAATGGTATCTATTTCATAGGGCTTCACTGGGACTCTTAATCAGGTTTGGGGAGCCCAGGTTTATATTGCATGTCCTTCAGATGCGATCTATGTACTCCAATTCATTGCCACTCATTTTGATTGCTTGGGTTTCAGTTTCTTGATGAAGCACCTCTAACCCAGTTTATTCATCACTCAGCCCTCCTTTCACTTGGAAAAAATACTCCACCCTTACTGAACTATGGCTCAGGGATAATCCCTTCTGAGAGCAAACAGAATCTGTGTCACTCTTGAAAGAAGAGTTAGGCTGAATAAGTGAAGATGAGAGGAAGAAAGACGTTGCTTATTATAAGCAAGACCATAACTAGCCATCAGTTAATCAAAACAGAAATGAGCTCCCTTTCTAGGGAGAAGCTTCCGATCACCGGAATGGTTCTGGAAGAGGCTGCATGATTCAGCCCTCATCCAGCAGGTATTTATGGAGCCCCAACTCTGCACCAGGATCTGTGCTAACTGCTACAGACACAGCAGGGAAGAAAACAGGCACGCTCTTGGCCCTTCTGAATTTTATCTTTACAAAGAGCTTCTCAAACGGTCCAGCTACCATTTGCCAGGCTCTGCCTCAAATCTCACGGATGCAGCTACTCGCAGGCTGAGCCCTGGGAATTTCTTTTTCAACAGTGGCCCCCATTAATTCTGATACAGGGTAGGTTTGGGGACCTCTGAAAGGGGGTGGTCACCTACCAGGCATGCTGTGGGAAGGGGGATTTCTGTACTGCGCAGAAGACTAGGTTTGAAGACCTCAAAGCTGCCTTCCAACCTGATTGGGAGCTCTCTTTATGCTATGTCAGTGATGAGTTTTCTCAACATTCTCATCAAGAACATCCCCATACTTGTTCTTCTTTTACTTGTGCTGTCCATATGTGTATGGACAGCTGCCCTATGAGCAGAGTCAGTTTTTCTCAGTGCTGCTCCCTCTAGTTAGTACTTGGTCCAGGCACTGGGATACTGATAGCTTTTTTTTTTTTTTTTGAGATGGAGTCTCGCTCTGCCGCCCAGGCTGGAGTGCAGTGGCACTATCTCCGCTCACTGCAAGCTCCGCCTCCCGGGTTCACGCCATTCTCCTGCCTCAGCCTCCCGAGTAGCTGGGACTACAGGCGCCCGCACCACATCCGGCTAATTTTTTGTATTTTTTAGTAGAGACAGGTTTTCACCGTGTTAGCCAGGATGGTCTCGATCTCTTGACCTCATGATCCGCCCTCCTCGGCCTCCCAAAGTGTTGGGATTACAGACGTGAGCCACTGCACCCAGCCATTGATTGCTTTCTATGCATCATCAAAGAGATACAATGACACCACGAGGTGGGCAGTGTACTTATTTCTACCTTTCAGAAGGGAAATTGAGGTTTAGAGAGATAAAGTCACATGTCAAGGTCAAGAAATCTCAGAGTAGGGGATTGCATTCCCACCTCTCAGTTACAAAAGCCCATGTTTTCACACCTACACTTATGGTTAGAAACATCTGCAAAGCATTTCTCTCCCCAAGGGAATGGCTACAGCGGGCATCACCATGGGGTAGACTCTAAAGGGCACAGAGAGGAAGGGGAGAAAGGGTGGTCGAAGTGCATGCCCAGCCCACCTGCTCCTGTCTGCACTGCCACCTGGGGTTGCAGGCAGGAGCCCAGGCCCCTCTGCAGAACCCTCTGGTGCCCACTGGGATGCTCTGAGTTTAATTTCTTTCAGTGTTAATCCTAGTACATTGAGCTGAGAGGACATCCTACCCAGGGCACCTCGGGAGCATAGAGAAGGAAGGCCCAAGATGCAGAAAAGGGTATCCAGTCCAATAAAGGTCCAGATAATGATTTCTTCTGCCAAGATCCAAGAACAAGTCCACCCTCCCCAACCCCCAAGATATCCCCAGCAGGCCCACATTAACTTAATTTACAGTTTAAGACTTCAGTTCAATCTGAAATAATGATTTTTCTCTTCTTCCTTCCGTGATCTTTGGTCTTTGGAAATGGGAAAAACTAAAAAAGGAACACAGAGCTGCTAGGCTCTCTTCCAAGGCTGCTTTTATAACACTGACTCCCAGGACGCATGGCTGCCGCCACCTCTCAGACGAGGCCTCCACGAGGCGGCAGAGCTGGCCTCAGCCCAGCTACAACCTCCATCCATGGAAATTTTGGATTTGTCTTTTTTAAAAAACAGAATTTGTTGGCATCTTTTAGATACTTCACTCACAGATATTCCTTTGACTTACTATTATTAGTGTCTAGGAGAAATTGTTTAATTTGTTAATTTCTCCAGAATGCTGCAAAGCGGGGTTGTAGAATAAGCACTTCTGTGTAGGATAAGGCCAACATTTAAGTTCTGGCTTTTTCAATTATTAACTGTGCCACCTGGGTCAAATGACTCAATTTCCAAACTTTAATTTTTATTTTTTTAACAGTGGATAACAGTAAAACTCATCCTACTTCTATCATAACACTGTTTTGACTGTAAAATGAATTGTTAAATTGTAAAATAACTGTCCAATTTTGATTAAGTATTATCACTATTACCAAAAATTTCTGGGTTTTAAGTAGTTACTGCTTAATTTTTTTCCCCTTATAGTATTCCTTTCTTCTTTTTTGAGATGGAGTCTTGCTCTGTCATCCAGGCTGGAGTGCAGTGGCATGATCTCGGCTCACTCAGAACAGCTACTGATGAGAGAGGCCCTCCTTGCATGGCGAAGTGGTCAGGAAACTTAAGCACAAAATCTCTTTCTATTCTTAAGCCTGATCCTTGGGCAGATTATAAAGATGTAGTAATTCTTGTTGAATGAGGAAGAATGTGGATGAAATTCAAGCCAGGACTTACTAAAAGGATAAAGGTATGCTGGCTTGGCATCATTTGGTATAAGGTTAATGAAAGGCGTATTTCAAAGGTCTCTGTCAACATCATGAGATAAGTTATTCATCTATTCAACAAATATTCATTGCATCTATATCAGAATCAGAGTCTAGCAACAAGCAGGGCTGAGGCGGTCCCTTCCCTCAGTGGAGCTTACAGTTTTATTTTTTGAGACGGTGAGACGTTGTCTTGTTCTGTCACCTAGGCTGGAGTGCAGTGGCGCGATCTCGACTCACTGCAACCTCCGCCTCCCAGGTTCAAGCGATTCTCCTGCCTCAACCTCCCAAGTAGCTGGGATTACAGGCGCGTACCACCATGCACGGCTCATTTTTGTATTTTTGGTAGAGACGCGGTTTCGCCATGTCAGTCAGGCTGGTCTTGAACTCCTGACCTCAGGTGATCCGCCCGCCACGGCCTCCCAAAGTGCTGGGATTACAGGTGTGAGCCGCTGTGCCCCGCCACCTCCTCTTCTTACAAGGGCACCAGTCTTCTGGGATTAGGGCCTATCTTCATGTCTTAGCTTTACCTTAATCACCTCCTTCAAGGTCCCATCTCAAAATATGGTCACATTGTGAGGTGACAAGGGGTCAGGGCTCCCACATATGAATTTTGGGGGACTGAATTCAGCTGATAAAACAGGACGAGGTCCACTAAACAGTCACACCAACAATTGTGGAACTGTGACTCAGAAATGGCTGAGATAGAGAGGTCCAGAATGCTGAAAGGTGGGAAGTTAGCCAAAAAGGTTGCTGATGAAATAAGGATTTAATAGACATCTGAAGGAAATCGGGAAGGGAGGAAGAAGGCAGGAGGAAGAGCGTTAAGACCTCAGAGCAGGAAGCTTGACAAGGATGAGTAAAGTGGTATCTCAGAAAAATACTTGGTCTTTGTCCCTCCTTGATCACTGAGACAGAGCTCTTAAGCCCCTTGGAATTTCCTGGGTGACAGGGGCAACACCTTTTGTTCTAAGGGGGCCACTTTTTTTTTTTTTTTTTTGAGACAAGAGTTTCACTTTTGTCACCCAGGCTGGAGCACAATGGCGGGATCTCGGCTCACTGCAACCTCCACCTCCCGGATTCAAGCAATTCTCCTGTCTCAGCCTCCTGAGTAGCTGGGATTATAGGCGCCTGCCACCATGCTCGGCTACTTTTTGTATTTTTAATAGAGATGGACTTTCACCATATTGGCCAGGCTGGTCTCGAACTCCTGGCCTCAGGTGATTCATGTGCCTCAGCCTCCTAAAGTGCTGGGATTACAGGCGTGAGCCACTGCACCCGGCCCTAAGGGGGCCACTCTTACTAGGCCCCTAGAGAGCTTCAGAATAGGGGCTGGCTGACAGAAGTAACAAGGCAGAATTAGAGGGTTGGATCTTTGAACTTCACCCTCAACCTGCAGGGAGGCGGCAGTGGCTGGAGACTGAATTGATCACCAATCATTACTGACTTAGTCAACATGCCTATGTAATGAAACCAACATTAAAATCCCTAAATGATAGGGCTCAGAGAGCTACTGGGTAGAAACACATCCAGGTCTGGGAGGATGGTATGTCTGGAAAAGGTATGGGGGCTCCACGCCCTGCCCCCATAGCTCACATCTCTTCCATATGGCTGTTCCTGGGCTGTATCCTTTATAACAAACCTGCAACAGAAAGTAAAACACTTTCCTAAGCTCTGTATCCTTCTAAGAAATTATGGAACCTGAGGTGAGTGCTATGGAAACCTCTGACTTTGCAGCCTGGGGCCCCACTATGTGTGGCTGGCGTCTGAAGTGATGGTGGTTTTGTGGGATGGAGCTCTTAAGCCCGTGCAGCCTGACACTAATTCTGGGTAGTTAGGGTCAGAAGTGAATTGAATTGAATTGCAGGACACTTAGTGGGTATCTGCACAGAATCTGATCATTGCTTTGTATCAGGAGGGAAAAAACACCTCTGCAGGGACTCAAGGTCAATGTGGCTGAGACAAATAGATGGAGGAGCAGATGGCGAGGGAGACGAGGCTGAAGCCAGGAGGGCTGGTCTGGGGGCCTTGTGGTCAAGGCCAGAGTAAGGGGATTTCTCCACGAAGGACAAGCAGGGGGAACCACTGAAGGGAACAGGCGGGCAGGACCATCCTGCTGTATGACACCAGGGCACCATCTGCACAGAGGCAACGTGAACAGTGTCCCTTGGAGTTGAGTGACACGGCAGTGTTGAGACTAGGTGCTGATGTGGTCAGAATTGTGGGTTTTGTTTGTTTGTGTTTTTGAGACAGAGTCTTGCTCTGTCACCCAGGCTGGAATTCAGTGGCACCATCTCGGTTCACTGCAATCTCTGCCTCCCGGATTCAAGTGATTCTCCTGCCTCAGCCTCCCATGTAGTTGGAACTACAGGCACGCCACACTGCAATCAGCTAATTTTTGTATTTTTAGTAGAGACAGGGTTTCACCATGGTGGCCAGGCTGGTCTTGAACTCCTGACCTCAGGTGATCCACCCGTCTTGGCCTCCCAAAGTGCTGGGATTATAAGGCATGAGCCACTGCACCTGGCCCAGAATTGTGTTTTGAAGAGAACATCCTTGCCACTATGTGGAGTAGGATCAGGAATGATTTGAGCAGGTGGAAATCAAGCATTTACTTTTCATTCTTTCTTTTAGAGATATTCCATGATGGATACACAAGCATGGAGATGAGGGGAGAGGTAAGGGCTGGAGACACAAATCATGGTCAGCAACATCTTCTGAGGGGCCTGTGTACAGGTGACATGCAGGGGCCGAGGGCCAAACCAGGAGCCGGGAGGTGAGAGTGCTTGTCTCCCCTGTGATCCACATAAGGGCTTGAGCCCGGAAGGAAGGGGCACAGTGGGCTCTGCAGCTCTGGTAACCCCAGCACGTCCCAATGCACAGCCTCCTAGCACTCTCTTCCTGCTTGCTGAATAGAATTGTTACAAAGGCAACACTTTGGCTTGTGTTAGGAGCCAATCTGGCTCTGCCAAAGAGGCGGTGAAGGTGAATTCAAGAAATTACTATGGTGTATGTCTTGGGGATGAAGAAGAAGTGCTTCTGGGCGTGGGGTAAGTCCCTCGGGAGCAGGTGGGCTGCACCACTGACACAAAGGCAGGTGCAGCACAGGGAGGAGGAGGAAGGACAGGCTGGGGAGAGTGGGTGGAAGGAGGAAGGGCTCAGCTAAGTATACTCATGCACACTCTGGAGCTGGTGTGTGGAAAGGAATGGAGTAATAACAACACATTCAGCCATAAAAAGGAGCACAGTACTAACAGATGCTGCCACCTGGATGAACCTTGGAAACCTTATGTCAAGGGAAAGATGCCAGACACAAAATGTCACATATTGCATGACTAAGTCAGTATATATCACATTTCACGTGATATATTCGGAATAGCCAAATTCACGGAGACAGAGAGCAGATTAGTGGTCAATGGGGGACAGGGAGAGGGGGGTGTGGAATGATTATTTGGTGGGTTCGCGGTGTTTTCCTGGGGTGATAAAGACATCTTGAAACTAGAGACATCAAGTGGTTGCACAACGTTGTGAAAACACTAAATGCCACTGGATTGCACCCTTTAAAACTGTTAACTACATGGAAGTATGTGAATTTCACCTCCATAGAAAATTATGATGAGGGTAACGTGAAAGTAATACTTGGAGGGAATGTGTATGTCAAGTAGCTTGATTTGGTCATTCCACAATGTACACAAATATCAAAACATCGGCTTATATACCTTAGTATATACAATTTTATTTGTTAATTAAACAATAAATTAAGAAAAGAAAGTATTACTTGGTATATGTCGGTAATATTCTCACATAGTTTATCCTATTTAATCTTCACCACAAATGCTGGGGCTCCAGGACACAGTCTTCAGAGCTCTGCTGCTCTCTGTCCAGCCCTGTGGTCTTGCTTGTCCCCTCTGGGCCAATGATCAGCTCAGCATCTCAGACTTTAAGGTGTCCCAGATCAAACTCTTGTTTTTTCCCCTCACACCTGCTCTTCCCTCAGCCTTCCCCATGTCAGTCAATGGCAATCCATTCTCTCCCTTAAGCCAGAAAACTGTGGAGTCAGCCTCCCTGCCTCCCCAACTTTATTGAAGTACCGTACAACTCAATGAATTCACCCATTTTAAGTGCAGTTCAGCAAATGTTAGTAACTGGGTGCAGTCATGGGTAGTGCACCACGACCATCAAGATACAGAACTGTTCCAAGGACCTGAAGTCTTCTTGTGCTCTTTTTGGGTCCATCCACTTCCCCACACACCCGCTCCAGGCAACCACTGATTTTCGTTCTGTCACTGCAGTTGAGCTTATTCTAGAATTTCATAAAAATAGAATTATAATCTTATAGCACGTAGTTTTTCCTGTTTGACTTCTTGTACTTGGCATGATGCTTTTGAAATCCATCCAAGTGTTATGTGTATTAATACTGCCTTCCTTTTTACTGCTGAGTGGTATTTCCAAGTATGGATATACCATAATTTGAGTGGAATCAAGACTTCTGTTTTCCGTAAGTTAAGCCTGAGATCCAAGCTGCCCGAGATCCAAGCTATAGATTTGCATATCATTGGAACATGAATAGTATTTTAAAATGTGAGCTCATTTAAAGGAGATGCTTATAGAGAAGACCAAGGCAGAGTGTTGGGGCTCTCCACTGTTTAGCTGTTGAGCAAAGAGGAAGGGAACGCAGAAAAGGAGTATCCCTAGGCAGGGCTGTGCAGAGCTCCCCCAGGGTAAGAGCAGAAGTCAACTTTGTGGTATTGTATTAATATAAAGGGGAGGCAATGGAGAATCCACAGGTGTGGGTTTTAGATTATCAATGTAGCAGAATTTTCTAGATCTAAAATTTGCAATCAAGCACTCTGACTCCAAAGATGGTATGTACTGCCAGTTCATTACAGCTACAACCGCATTTCACTCACAAGACAAGATGCTCCGTCTATGGTGAGATTCACAATTGGCTTCCTTAACATCCTCAGTGAAAAACCAAGGTTTCTGAATCATTCTCATCAACTTTGGGTTAGGCTGCCTGGTATATATGCGTCTCAAAGCACATGCTTCGAGGAGAGCAATCAATTGCCAGTCTTTTGCCAAGGAAACAATATGCTGGCCAAGCCAGCCCACTTTCAAAAGAAAGTTGAGCCCCAACCCACATTCCTGGCTGCCAGTGCCCTGAAGATGCCCATCAAGAAGACTGCGTCCCTCATGTTTATAAACAGTCTGCTATGTCTAAGGGGACTCTTGCATCGAGGATGAGGCTTTTGTACTTTTTTTTTTTTGAGAAGTCTTGCTCTGTTGCCCAAGCTGGAGTGCAGCAGTGTGATCTTGGCTCACTGCAACCTCCGCCTCTTGGGTTCAAGTGATTCTACTGCCTCAGCCTCCCAAGTAGCTGGAACTACAGGCACCCGCCACCACGCCCGGCTAATTTTTGTATTTTTAGTAGAGACGGAGTTTTGCCATGTTGGCCAGGCTGGTCTCGAACTCCTGATCTCAAGTGATCCATCCACCTCCACCTCCCAAAGTGCTGGGATTACAGGTGTGAGCCACTGCACCTGGCCGAGGCTTTTGTACTTTTAAAAAATTTGATGCAGCATCACATCACAGGAATCAGAGTTGCAAGGGCCTGTAGGATATTTTGGACCAAACTTCTCATTTGAATGATGAGAAAAAGAACATGAGAACTCCAATATAAAGAGGAGATCCCTTGGGAGGCCGAGGCAGGCAGATCACGTGAGGTCAGGAGTTTGAGACCAGCCTGGCCAACATGGTGAAACCCCATCTCTACTAAAAATACAAAAAAAAAAAAAAAATTAGCCAGGTGTGGTGGCGGGTGCCCGTAGTCCCAGCTACCCAGGAGGCTGAGGCAGGAGAATCGCTGGAACCCAGCAGGCAGAGGCTGCAGTGAGCCAAGATACTGCACTCCTGCCTGGGCAACAAAGCAAGATTCTGTTAAATAAATAAATAAATAAATAAATAAATAAATAAATGGATCTCAATATGGTTAAAAATATTACACCTGGAAAAAAACCTTAATACTCATTTAGTCCAATCTTTTCATCGTATAACTGATGAAACTGACTTGCTGTGAGGGTAAATGATATTCCCAAGATCACACAGATGAGTAAAGGCCAGAACCCTTGTTTCCTAACAAAACTGTCCTTATGAGCCACGCAGTATCAGCCTGGAAATGAAGGTTGCTGAAATTAATAGCTAGAATGGGGTGTCTGGACGGATCCTGGCTTTGTTTAGGCCATCACACACACAAGAGCCTTCTCATCCAACACCTCCAAATGCTGAACAGCACACACTCCACATAAACACGGGGTAAAGCAGAGTATGGCTCTGTCAGCAAAGCCAGTGCAGACGCAGCCCACTGATCTCCCTCTTGCCACTGCCCTCTTCGGAGAGAATTCTCCCTTAGCAAGCCAAGGACAACACAGCTACAATGGCCAGCTAGTGGTCTTCTCCTGGCATGGCGTTAAATCACCAACAATCCCAACATGTAAGACACTGCCTTTGAATAGTTTTGATATCCTTTCCGATGGAGGCATCCAAGTTCAGGGTAGAAAAAACTTCATCTGGCAAAGTTTCAGAGATGGGGGTGGGCAGCGGTGGGAGAGAACAAGAGAGGGAACACATTTGTCTATATGCGCGTAGGTGACCACCAAGAAAAGAACGCTCAGCTGCCAAAAAAATTCTTATTTTATTTTATTTTATTTCAATAGCTTTTTGGGGAACAGGTGATGCTTGGTTACATGAATAAGTTCTTTAGCGGTGACTTCCGAGATTTTGGTGCACCCATCACCCGAGCAGTAGACACTGTACCCAATGTACAGTCTTTTATCCCTCACCCCCTCAAACCCTTTCCCCACCGAGTCCCCAAAATCCACTCTATGGGAGTATCTCATTCTTTTTTTTTTTTTTGAGACCAAGTCTCGCTATGTCGCCAGGCTGGAGTGCAGTGGCATGATCTCGGCTCACTGCAACCTCTGCCTCCCAGGTTCAAGCGATTTTCCTGCCTCAGCCTCCCGAGTAGCTGGGATTACAGGCACGCACCACCACACCCAGCTAATTTTTGAATTTTTAGTAGAGACGGGGTTTCACCATGTTGGGCAGGATGGTCTTGATCTCCTGACCTTGTGATCCACCCGCCTCGGCCTCCCAAAGTGTTGGGATTACAGGCGTGAGCCACCGCCCCCGGCCGGGAGTCTCTCATTCTTATGCCTTTGCATCCTCATAGCTTAGCTCCCACTTATCAGTGACAACATACAACGTTTGGTTTTCCACTCTTGAGTTACTTCACTGAGACTAATGGTCTCCAATTACACCCAGGTTCCTCTTCACAAGGAGTCAGAGATCGCATTCCAACCCGAATCTGCTCATCTGTTCATTCAGCTGTTTGTTTATTCATCTACACATTTATTCATCCAACAGTTATTTATTGAGAGGTGACTATACGTCAGGCACTATTCTGGACTCTTGAGTGTTTAAAAAAACAAAACAAAACAAATTCCTGCCTTGTTGGCACTTTCATTCCAATGCGGGAGCTGGACCACAAATAAATATGTAATGAAATGCTAAGTGGTGACAAGAGATGCTACAAAAAGGAAAGGAGATAAGGGGACACAGCAAGGGTGCAGGGTGAAGGACGGGTGGCCTATGCAGCAGAAAGGGGGAGGGGCTTGGGGAAGCACAGCTGAGGTGACATTTGAGGAGAAAGGCCATTTCCCCTGCTCAGAGCAATGCCAGCAAAAGAAGAAAGAGTGGCAGAGAAGGTAGAGGTGGTGGCTTCTCCTCCAGGAAGGGGCCCATGGCAGGCCTGGTACACCTGTCTCAGGTGAGCGGGCCACATAAAGAGGCTGTTGTCACAAGCTCAATCTGGAAAACGTCACTAGTTTAGTAGCGAGTGGCAGGGCAAGTCTGCCTGGGGGGACATCTGTTCCTTATTTAGGGCTCAAGGCCACTTGAGAATGAATCGGTGAGGAAGGCCACACGGTGGATTTGTCAGAACAGCATTTCAGCGCCATCAAAGGTGCTGGCAGGAGCGCCCATCTGGGGTACATAAAGGAGACTGCATAGAAACAACACGCTCCCTTAGCTCAGAGGTCTAGATGTTTAAATACGACCCCTTGAAAACAGCTGAGGCATTTCCATCCTTTTCCTTACTCAAAATTATTACAATTCTAATTAATGGATACTATAGCTTACAACATGCTCATTTCCTTTACTTCAAGAAATGAACCCTGCACAATCTACTATCTATGGCTTGCCAAAGGCCTGGTAGAGAGGAATTACCGTGACGGAGGATTGTTTGAAAGGCAGCAAGGAACCAGAGAATGCTGTGTGCTTAAGCCATACCACCCTGGCCTGCCCTCCAGCTTTCCCAGAAGGAAACTGAATAGACAGAGACAAGCCAACTTCATCATCTCTACAGACAGGTTTGTAGTGCTAAAGCTAAGACATTGAAAGGTTGTTGTTTCAGGCCGGGCGTGGTGGCTCACGCCTGTAATCCCAGCACTTTGGGAGGCCGAGGCGGGTGGATTATGAAGTCACGAGTTCGAGACCAGCCTGGCCAATATGGTGAAACCCCATCTCTACTAAAAATACAAAAATTAGCTGGGCATGGTGGTGCACGCCTGTAATCCCAGCTACTCAGGAGGCTGAGGCAGGAGAATCGCTTGAACCTGGGAGGCACAGGTTGCAGTGAGCCAAGATCGTGCCACTGCACTCCAGCCTGGGTGACAGAGCGAGACTCCATCTCAAAAAAAAAAAAAAAGTTGTTGCTTCACTCTTAACTTGGACAGCTACATACTTCAGTCTGATCTCCCAGGGAGTGACCAAAACTACCACCACTGGTGGTGAGAGTTTATAAAGCTACCAAGAATTGTAGAGAGTCAGCTACAGTCAGTGAGATAATGGTTCACTCTTATCACTGAAAAGCCAGGTCCTCTGCGTGCACCGTGATTTGGAGTACATCTGACTGGCAGTCTGAGGCAGCCCATCTTCATTCTGTCTGTGTCCATCTGTCTTTCCTGGCTCCTGGTTTTTTTACTTGGTTCTCGCTAAACTCACCTAGGAACGGACTTTGTTCCAACCTCCAGTTTCTATGATGGTTTTGCTTCCACTAGAGATCTGGGTTCTCTCATAAGAGATTTCTAACAAAATCTCTTTGAAAAATGGAAAAACCAGTTATTTGTCTTTTTCCTACTGCATTTTGAACATCTACCAGAGGCTGTTTTATTTGAATGTCTAATCAATACACTGAATTAAGCAATTGAGATAACACAAAGGATCAGAATCACAAATATCAGAGCTCATTGCCTTAGTGTCAAGTAATTATTAGGCAAGGCAGAGAGAAGCCCAGGACCACCAATACCACTTTCCAATTCCTTGCCACATGGAAAAGTGTTCTGGCCCTGATTTAACATATGAGGTCTCTGAGTTGTGTATGCATCATTGCTTGCACTGAACAGAGCTATGTCGGTCATGAAACATCTCAATTTTATATTCCAACAATTACAGAGTTTCTGTGCTGTTTTCCAGGGGGTGCACGTACCATAAACCCAATAATTACAGATTTGTTTCCCATAGTAATCCTAGTTCAGGTATGTATTAGTCCATTCTCACATTGCTATAAAAAAAATGCCTGAGACTAGGTAAATTATAAGAAAAGTAGTTGAGTTAGGCCGGGCACAGTGGCTCACACCTGTAATCTCAGCACTTTGGGAGGCTGAGGCGGGTGGATCACGAGGTCAGGAGATTGAGACTAGCCTGGCCAACATGGTGAAATCCCGTCTCTACTGAAAAAACAAAAAATTAGTCGGGTGTGGTGGTACGTGCCTGTACTCCCAGCTACTTGGGAAGCTAAGGCAGGGGAATTGCTTGAATCCGGGAGGCGGAGGTTGCAGTGAGCCGAGATTGAGCCACTGCACTTCAGCCTGGTGACAGAGCAAGACTCTGTCTAAAAAAAAAAAAAAAAAAAGAAGAAGAAGAAAAGAGGTTTAATTGGCTCATGGTTCTGCAGGCTGTACAGGAAGCATGGCAGCCTCCGCTTCTGGGGAGGCCTCAGGGAATGCACAGTCATGGCGGAAGGCAAAACAGAAACAGACACGTCTCACATGGTGGGAGCAGCAGAAAGAATGGGGGGAGGTGCCACCCACTTTTAAATGACCAGATCTCGAGAGAACTCTATCATGAGAACAGCATGAAACGGATGGTGCTAAACCATTTATGAAGAATCCACCCCTGTGACCTAATCACCTCCTACCAGGCCCTACCTCCAACACTGGGGATTACAAGTGGATATGAGACTTGGGTGGGGACACAGATCCAAACCATAGCAAGGTACGTACTGCTAAAAGCAATCCACAGATAAGGACTCTCTCCTAGCAAATGCTATTAATGTATTAATATGTGTGTTTGACAGAAGGTCTGTCAGTGTGTTTAAGACTTGACCCAGGACACCTTTCTTTCTTTCCTGGGTCCATAAGGGAGGGAATGGATGGCAATAGATTGAGGCCTTGTTGCCAATGCTTCCTTTTTGCCAGGAATGTTTTTATAGTAACTGATGTGCAGGGCACACAGATGGCTCACTCGAAGCAGCACTCTGGTATGTCCACACACTGCTGTTTCCACCACCTGGGCTGGGTGCTTACCAAGAGTGACTTGTGGTTGTTCCCAAACCTTTTATGTCATTTCTTGTTCTTACCATTGAGAACTCTAATATTATGTACATCTATTAATTAGCAGTGTGGGAAGAGAGTTGTTTTTCTGAAAACAAAATAGACTACTTTAGAAAGATTAGACCATGGTGAGCTGCTAAAAAAATTGCTATTGTGCCTGTAATCCCAGCACTTTGGGAGGCCGAGGCAGGAGGATCACCTGAGGTCAGAAGTTCAAGACCAGCATGGCCAACATAGTGAAACCCTGTATTTACTAAAAATACAAAAAATTAGCCGGGCATGGTGGTGTGTGCCCGTAATTCCAGCTACTCGGGAGGCTGAGGCAGGAGAATCGCTTGAACCCAGGAGGCGGAGGTTGCAGTGAGCTGAGATCATGCCACTGCACTCCAGCCTAGGCGACTGAGTGAAACTCTGTCTCAGCCAAAAAAAAAAAAAAAAAAAAAAATTGCTATTGGTTTAAACAACTGGGAAGGATAGTAGAAGTCTCCTCGGAGTCTGCATTCTTGTGCGTGAAGAGTGAGTTTGAATACTAACTTTGCTTTAAGTAACTGGTATTTGAAACTGCATTGTGGGTATCGGGGCTGCAAGAAACACGACATCTAACTCTAATTGGTGGACCCTCACTCAGAGACAATATTGTGACTGCAAAGTATCCCTATCCACAGCTATTCTCCCATCACACAGCAATGATTTGTCTGTACATTTTCTCCGTATGCTAAGGCCAGCTTTGTAGCTGGCTGAGCAATTACTACAGGTAAACGTTGGAAACAAGCAACAAGAGATCTGAGTTCCAGGCTAGGCCCACTTGTTCTTAGACCTGGACCTCCACTCTTGCAAAATAAGATCATTAATATTTCCACAGAACAACCCACAAAGGTTCTTGGTTCTGATGGTCCAGGATTCTGTGGCTGCCAATTATTGCATAGCTGTTGAGCCACTGAAGACTTAGACACAATCACCAACCCCATCTATACCGAGAATCTTCCACAGGATCTAATGACTCTGACCTACCGTATTTGCTGTATCAATACTCCCCAATTTTGGGTACTGTGAATCTTTCTTGGAGACAGGCCAATTTTGGACATATTATTGTTTTAACAGTTTTCGAAACAAAGTTTTTGGCTTGCCTGTGGCTTCTACATCTATGCCTCATCAAAGCATGGAATAAGGCTAAACATCTTGTAAAGTCCTTTTTGCTTTTTGTCTTTGTGCTTGATCTTTTCCATTTCAATTAACTTTCTATTGAAGTGTCATTGAATGAAAGACATCATAGAAATGGCAGAACCTGTTGTAAATGCAACCTTTTAGCTCCTGAGAGATTCTAATTCCATTCCACTTATGCAATTTTTCAGTGACAGTGACCCAGTAACTTAGGTGTAAGTCTCCTCATGATGAATCATTTTAAGAACTTGTTCATGGAAGCAGCTGCAACTCTGAGCTAATAGAACTCAACATGCGGTCCAGTGCCCTTCTGTAAATGTAGAATTATGTGCCAGGTAATGAAGAAGCTGGAGGGGCCACAGATAAAGACCTGGACTGGGAACAGGAGATATGATCAAGTCAAATAAGCTTCTGCAACTTATAAAACTTGGGTAGACAGAAGGTCCTTTACTTGTGCACTTGCAATGTGGAAACTTCGCAGAGAAGGGCAAAGCCAGGCACTAAGGCAAATGTGTGTCAACTTTTTCCCCTGCTAAGAGATGGTAGTCACTTGTATAGCATCACTGAAGATGTAAGGACAAACATACTTAAGAATGTATCTGTCTAACAACTTTTCTGAACATAATTTTTATTTATTTATTTATTGAGACGGCATCTTACTCTGTCACCCAGGGTGGATGGAGTGCAGTGGCGTGATCTTGGCTCACTGAAACCTCTGCCTCCCAAGTTCAAGCGATTCTTGTGCCTCAGCCTCCCAAGTAGCTGGGCTTACAGGTGCCTGCCACCACGCCTGGCTCTTTTTTTTTTTTTTTTTTTTTTTTTTTTTTGTATTTTTATTAGAGACGGGGTTACACCATGTTGGCCAGGCTGGTCTCGAACTCCTGACCTCAAGTGATTCATCTGCCCGCCTCAGGGCTCCCAAAGTGCTGGGATTATAGGTGTAAGCCACCAAGCCCGGCCTAATTTGTATTTCTTAATTCAATAAACATTTAATCAACATTTATGAAGTATAAAGGATAGTCCTTATTAAATTAAAAAAAGATATAATTGCTGACCTCAAACACACTACAAATAAGTACAAAAGACATGTATATGCCTAAGAGACATAAGACAAAAAATGGAATGTAAGTAAAAGTGTACAAAAAAGTGTACAAAAAAGGAATGTAAGTAAAATCCCATGAAAATATTGCAAAAGAGTAATTTTTTTTGCACCTGAGGGAGCCAAAGCCTTACAAGGGAGGCAGCATTTGTGTTGGGTCTTAAAGAATAAGTAAGAGTTTATTGGGCAGAGTGGGAGGTAGAAGGCCTTCCAGGCTGAGGAAAGACCCTGAGCACAGCAATTGTGGTAGAGAAGTATAAGGTGAAGGAGAGGCTGTGTGTGTATATGGAAAACGACACAACCTTAGTTTCAAATCCCAGCTTACCCACTGGCCAAGTGTATAATCTTTCAGCATCTTTTACTCTCTGAGCTTTGGTTTGCTCTTGTCAAATGAGGCTAATAAAACCTACCTGAAGTTTATTATAAAGACTAGAGACCATATCTGTAAACCATCTAACTTGGTGCCAGATACTTCATATTTGTTTAATAAATTTTAAAAATGTCTAATTTTTTTCTTTTTTTTTTTTTTGAGATGGAGTCTCACTCTGTCGTTCAGGCTGGAGTGCAGTGGCATGATCTCGGCTCACTGCAAGCTCCATCTCCCGGGTTCATGCCATTCTCCTGCCTCAGCCTCCCAGTAGCTGGGACTACAGGTGCTGCCACCACGCTCGGCTAATTTTTTGTATTTTTAGTGGAGACGGGGTTTCACTGTGTCAGCCAGGATGGTCTCGATCTCCTGACCTCATGATCCGCCCGCCTTGGCCTCCCAAAGTGCTGGGATTACAGGCGTGAGCCACCGTGCCCGGCCAAAAATGTCTATTTTTACTGTTATTTTTTATTTTTTTATTTTTTTAAGACAGAGTTTTGCTCTTGTTGCTCAGGCTGGAGTGCAATGGCGTGATCTCGGCTCACCACAACCTCCGCTTCCCGGGTTCAAGCTATTCTCCAGCCTCCTGAGTAGCTGGGATTACAGGCATGTGCCACCATGCCCGGCTAATGTTTTCGTATTTTTAGTAGAGATGGGGTTTCTCCATGTTGGTCAGGCTGGTCTCGAACTCCTGATCTCGGGTGATCCGCCCACCTAGGCCTCCCAAAGTGCTGGGATTACATGCGTGAGCCACTGTGTCCAGCCCATTTTTACTTTTTTATTAGGAACTAAATCTAGAGGGAAGAGTTGGCTCAAGCTATGGATACATAAGTCTGGTCTTGACTTGAATGCAGAGGTGAGCAGGCATTACATATGCTAAACACGAGAACATGAAAATAATCCTTGCCCTACTTATCCATTAGGGTCTTTCAGAATCACAACAGCAAAAATAATAAACAGAAATGTCCACTAGATACCAGGTATAGTATAGGGCATTTAAAATACATTGCTTCACGTAAGTCTTCCAATAACCTTAGAAGACAAGTATTTTTTTTTTAATTTCTTCTAAAATAAAAAAAAGTGTGCAGAACATGCAGGTTTGTATATATGTGCCATGGTGGTTTGCTGCACCTATTGCTCTGTCCTCTAAGTTCCCTCCCATCACCCCTCGGCCCCCAACAGACCCTGGTGTGTGTTATTCCCCTCTCTGTGTCTATGTGTTCTCAATGTCAAGATAGGTATTTTTACCTTCCATTTAACAGAACGAAAACTGAAGCTCAGAGGCAGTGAAATCCTTGTCATGCTGCTAATAAGTTGTAGAGCTGAGATTCAAACTGGGTTTTCTTCCCTCCAAATGCACAGGCCTCAGGCACTGTTTAGCATCTGCTCTCAATGTGGATCGAGGAGCATGATCCACCGTGAAAGTCTTTTACAGGGCAGTGAACAGTAAAGTCAAACAAAGCTCGCTCGCTCTCTCTCTTTTTTTTTTTTTTTTTTTTTGACATTGCAGGGTTTGGCACAGCTCTGGGTTGTGAAATAATGGTATCCAACCTTCTGAGAGTTATCGCCTCTATAGAATCCTCCCTGCTACATTTATCTGATATTTACATTGCACTGCCAGCCCAGACAGCCCAATTCATACCCCCAATAGCACCCAAGAACAATGCAGGTAAGTTCCTGCTCTGTAAGCTGGTCCATAGTGGCTCTGGGCCTAGGCAATTTATCTGATATTTACATTACACCGCCAGCCCAGACAGCCCAATTCACACCCCCAATAGCACCCAAAAACAATGTAGGTAAGTTCTTGCTCTGTAAGCTGGTCCATAGTGGCTCTGAGCCTAGGCAATTTATCTGATATTTACATTACACCGCCAGCCCAGACAGCCCAATTCATACCCCCAATAGCACCCAAGAACAATGCTGGCAAGTTCCTGCTCTGTAAGCTGGTCCATAGTGGCTCTGAGCCTAGGCAATGGGCAGATAAGTGGATGGGCACTGATAAGTGCTACAGAATCTTATCCTGCAAAGTGGCTAAGTCCCACGACCTTGCTACACACACAGTGAGACAATGGCTGCCTCTGGACATCCCCCTGGGGTCTTCAAACGCATGGCATGGCGCTAAGGGGCTTACATACTGTCCAGCTAACTGTAGCAGTCAAAGGATGAGAGGAAATGTTTTAAAAAGGCGAAATGCAATTTCCTCCTCTATAAAGCCTTCCTCGGTTGTGTCGGCCAAATTTAGCTCTCTTGCTGAGCTTCCACTGCTTCTGGACCATGTCTTCATTATAATAATTATCTTTAACAGTGACAGGCATCAGCATCCTCTGGGGAGGTTTTAAAAAATCATATAGGTACCTGGTACCCATCTCAGAAGATTCTAATTTGCTAATTTCCTAACTCTGGGTTGGGCCAGCAAATTCGTATTTCTAAAGAGCTTCCTGGGTAGTTTGGTGTCTGATACCATAGAGAAAAATAAATCATGGAAAACAAAACTCTGGCATAAAAACACATAAAAATGCTATGTAAAAATAATGCATGTATATATGCACATACATGCATTTATCTGTGTGTAACAGAAATAGATGAGTAGGCAAGAACATAAGGCAGATCTTGAGTCAATAATGGAAACTGATAAGATAGCACAGACCCTGAGAGCTAAGCAAGCTGAAGGCAGTACCTGAACTGGGGAGCCTGCCTATCCCTACTGGAATTAAGCATTGGTTTTAATGGGGCAAACACAGGAAAATGAGATGAAGAGCAGGATTACATAAAAACACCCTAGAGAACAAAGCGTAAAGACAGGATCCCCCAGAAGTCACACCTTTGATGGGTAAAGAAGTAAGGAGCCAGTTCTATAGGAAATTTGCCTGTCTTAGCCTTGGGTCTGGGTAAAAGACAGTGATCTCCACTGAGAATTCTTAATTCTAGGCCCATTCTCAGGGAGTTTGGGGGCCAGAATCATACCTATCTTGTTGGTCTGAAAGCCAACCATCTTGTAGCCTGGCAGAAGCAAATACAAATCCTATCTAGAGGACTGTATTTTAAAACCTGGCCTCAAAGATAAATTTCCAAGAACACGAACTTACCACAACATCAAACAAAAACTGCAGAAGTAACAATGAATTCAACCCCAGAAGACTGATAAAATCATCATGTACAGAACATAAGGAAAATCTGTTTAATATATTTCAAGAAATAATAGGAAGTAGGTGGTGGTTTTAAAATATGTCTCCAAGGATTGCTACAGCCCAGGAGTTGGAGGTTACAGTGAGCTATGATTGTGTCACCATGCTCCAGCCTGGGCCACAGAGTGAGACCCTGTCTCTAAAAAACAGACAAACAAACAAACAAATAAAATATGTCCCTAAATTCTTTCCCTTTCTTCCCTTTAAAAGGCAGAGATTCCCTCCCATTGAATTGTTTCAGTGACTCATTTCTAATAAATAGAATGGGACAGAAGTGATATTGTGGGACATGTGAATCTAGGTAATAAAAATGTTATGACCTTTGGACACAGGGCAGGGAACATCACACACTGGGGCCTGTCATGGGGTGGGGGAAGGATAGCATTAGGAGATATACCTAATGTAAATGACGAGTTAATGGGTGCAGCACACCAACATGGTACATGTATACACATGTAACAAACCTGCATGTTGTGCACATGTACCCTAGAACTTAAAGTATAATTTAAAAAAAAAAAGAAAAAAGAAAAAAAAAGAGAAATTACAAAAAAAAAAAATGTTATGACCTATGCCTGGCACGCACACACACAGGCACACACACTCTCTCTGTCTCTTATTGTTTACTCTCTTTGGGAGAAGCCAATCTCCATGTTGTAGGGACACTCAGGATGCCCTATGGAGAGGCCCACATAGAGGAAAAATGATGCCCATGGCCTATAGCAGGAACCAACTTGACAGCTACTTGAATGAGTCACCTTAGAAGTCAATTATCCCTCCATGTTGATGTGTGACTACAGCTGCATGAGAGATCCCAGAAGACATTTGCCTAGCTGAGCTCCTCCTGGGTTTCTAACAGAAACTATGAGACATAACAAATCCAATTATTTTAAGCCACTAAGTTTTATGGTAATTTATTATTCATGAATAGATAACCATACAGATTATACAATTTTATGATAAAAGAACAAGAAAACTGTTAAAAATGACCAGGTGTATTTGAAAAGGAACCAAATAAATGTTGCAGAAGTAAAAAATGACTGGCAGCTGACTTACCAACAGAGACAATGTAAGCCTTAAGGGAGTGGAATACCTTCAGTGTGCTGAGAGAAAATAAGTGTCAACCAAGAATTGTAGATCCAGGAAAAACACCCTTCGGGATGGCAAAATAAAGACATTTTTCAGATAATAAAAAACAGATGCTACTAGTACTAGGCACTTACATGAAGGGAAATTTTAAAAGATATACTTCAGGAGGAAGGAAAATAATCCCAGAAGGAAGGTCTGAAATGTGAAGAATAGTGAGAAAAAAAAACAGCAACTTTATAGATAAACATTTAAAAATATACCCACTGAGGCTGGGCGTGGTGGCTCAGGCCTGTAATCCCAGCACTTAGGGAGGCCGAGGTGGGTGGATCACGAGGTCAGGAGTTTGAGACTAGCCTGGCAAACATGCTGAAACCCTATCTCTATTAAAAATACAAAAATTAGCCGGGTGTGGTGGCATGTGCCCATAATCCCAGCTACTCAGGAGGCTGAGGCAGGATAATTGCTTGAGCCCAGGAGGCAGAGGCTTCAGTGAGCCAAGATCATGCCACTGTACTCCAGCCTGTGTGACAGAGCAAGACTCTGTCTCAAAAAATAAAAATAATATATATACCAACTGAAAAATCAACAAGGCTATCTAATTAATGAAATTTGAACAAGAATAAAATAGAACAAGCAAACTTTTAAAATAACAAGCATGTAACTCAGAAGGAGGCGATTAAACTTTCTAACGTCTCACACTGTGTTGGAGAAGAGTGAAGATATTAATTTCAGACTTGAAGTTAAATATTCATGTTAAGATTCTTGGTATATAACTTTCAATCTAGTGGGGGTTAAAATTAGAATGAGAAATAAAAATCTACAGTCATTCTAAAGAAGGTTAGAAAGGAGAAATGAAGAAATCTAAAAAGTATGACAACTAGAAAGCACAATATCAAGTGGCAGAAATAACACCTGCCATCTTGGTGGCCGCAATCTAGTAAATAGACCCTTACTTTTTAGGTGAAAGATTTTCATTTGGGAATTTAAATAAATCCAACTATATATCATTTAAAAGAAAAACTCTGAAAATAAAAAGAGGGAAGAAGACATAAAAGAAAATACAAATACAAAAAAAGCTGATGAATTTGTATTCAAAATAGACAAAAAACACATTACTAGAAGTACTCTTTACATCATAAAAAAATTGAAGTCTACTGATAAATTATACAAGATGTACAAGACTTTAAGGGGAATATTGCAAAATGTTATTGGATGATATTAAAGAACAAATAAAATAATAACAAATCAGGTTTATAGATAGGAAGATTCATTATCACACATACAACAATTCTCATCAAATTAATTTATAGATAGAAATAAAATTGCAATCAAAATCCCAATGTGTGTGTATGTGTATTTGTACATAGGTAAAGAACTTGACAAACTTATCCCAAAATATATATGGTTAAGAACAGCCAAGATTGTGACAATTCATTGAGCTGGTACTATATTTTTTTGAGACAGAGTCTTACTCTGTCACCCAGGCTGGAGTGCCGTGGCGCAACCTCGGCTCACCATAACCTCCGCCTCCCAGGTTCAAGTGATTCTCCTGCCTCAGCCTCCCTAGTAGCTAGGATTACAGGTGCCTGCTACCACGCTCAGCTAATTTTTGTATTTTTTAGTAGAGATGGGGTTTCACCATGTTGGCCAGGCTGGTCTCGAACTCCTGACCTCAGGTGATCTGCCCGCCTTGGCCCCCCAAAGTGCTGGGATTACAGGTGTGGGACACTGCACCCGTTTTATTTACGTTTTTAATAGTTCAATTTTTAAGTTATAAAAAAGGGAGGAGAGCAGGTAAGAAAACTAGCACTACTAGCTATCAGGATTATTATAAAGGCATAATAATCTAAACACAATGTAGTATTGACTTAGGAATACATAAACAACCAATGGAACTTATTCATTCATATATAGGAACTTGATCTGTGACAAATAAGCATGGAAAAGGTAATGAAAAAAATCTTGGAACAAATCACTACCATACAAAAAGTATTCAATCCCATATGAATGAAGGAGTTAAATGTGAAAGGCAAACCTTTCAAAAACTTAGAATACAATAAGAAGAGTATTTTTATGACCCCAGGTTTTGGTTTATTTTCATAAGTCGAATCCAAAAACATGTAAGACCGTAAAAAAAATGACTGATAAATTCAACTTCAGTGCAGAACTTCAGCACATCATAAGACATCATAAAAATTAGACATGCAATAAACTGAAGGCTGATATTTGCAGCATATAAAATTGGCAAAGGCTTAGTTTGCAGAACAGATAAAGAACGGCTACAAGTCAATACGGAAAAGATGAGCAACAAAAAAAATGGGCAAAAGATATAAACAAATATTTCTCAGAAATTCAACCAGCCAATGCACATACCTAATGTATAACCTCATTAATGATGAAAAAATGCAAATTAATATCTCAGGTATCATTCTTCTAGATTGGAAAAGATCGTAAAATGTGAAACAATAATGAATAAGAACTGGTTAAGATGGGTGGCAATAAGAACTCTTCATCACTAGTAGGGGTGTAAACTGGAATAACCATTTTGGAAAATCACTGGCAGTCACTAATAAAGTTGACTGTGTATACACACACATGCACACACCCACGCACACATACACACACACTACACACACACTGCACACACATGCACACACATACACACACACACACATACACATGCACACATACATGCACGTACACATACACACACACATACACACACACATTCTCTAACCCACTCCTACATGTAACCTCTCAGGAAAACCCTAGGAGATACATAAATAGTACTCACAGAAGTATTAGGAATAGCCAAAAATGGCAAACATCCAAATGTCCTATGACAAAAGAATAGATCAATCTAATGTGACTTATTCACATGCATCAGTGAAATGAATGAACTCAGTTTACATGGCGCGACATTGATGCATCTCACTAACGTAATTTGAGCAAAAGAAGCAAGTCACAGAAGTATTAATATAGAATGCTTCCACTGTATAAAGCTAAAAGAGGCAAAAGAAATACATATTGCTTGTGATCGTGACTGTTATAACCACAAAGTACATGGAAGTGATAAATCCAAAATTTGGTGCAATAGTTAGCTCTGGGGCAAAGACCACATGGAGCTCCAAGTCTTTGGGTGAGGATTTGTCTTAAGCTGGATGGTGGGTGCATGGATGTTAGGTTTATTACTCTTTAAACAGAATGTAAACATTATATATGCTCCTTCCCAAGTAGAACATATGCCATAGATTTCACATATACCAACAAAAACAAAACAATAATGATTGCAACAAAACAAACATGGGGGTTGTGGATGAGGAAACAATAGGCTTTGCAGGGCGTTCTGCAGAAAACCTCCAGGTGGGTGCCAGTACCATAAGGCGTTCTTTAAGTGTCTATTCACACGTCCATCTTCCTGTTTTGACTGTGAAGCCAGCGAGGGAAGGAACTGCATTCTACACTTGTTTGCTTCTCCAGCCCTGGCACAGACAAAGTGCACTGCTGATGTGCCAAGAACATTCCTTAAAAGGCTGAGTGACAGTGACTCCATCCTCCTAGTGTGGCTCACAACAGGAATCTGCGTCTGCCCAAATTCCTCCTCTCTCTCACCAATGGCATCCCTATCATGCTAACTCCAAAATATATCTTGGATCTAGCCACCTCCATCTGCAAATACTGCTGTACCAACTTTCTTACCTGGTGCTAAGTGGTCACCTTTCTTCCATGACGTCTTCTCCCATCCAGTTCCCTACTCGAAAAGTCTAGACATAAAAACCCAAACTTACTGTGGTAGCCTATACGTCCCTACCCAATATGTCCCCGCTCATTTCCATCCTAATTTCATAACACCACCTGTCACTCCCTATACCCCGGCCATGTTGGACTTTCCACCCTTCCAAGACCACCAGCTCTGCCCTGTCTCATGCCCACGCACATGCTGAAATGCTCACCCCAACTCTTGTCATGGTCAGCGCCTTTCTGTGTTTCCAGCTTGAATTTCTCCTCCTTGGAGAAGCCTTACTTCATGTCCCTCTCTCCGAAGTAGCTTTCCCTGCCCTGCCTTACTCTTGTTCTCTCTTTCTTTGTTGCCTTCTAATGCCCATCACTGTTTTTTTTTCTTGCTTTTTCTCTTGCCTCTCTCTCTCTCTCTCTCTCTGTCATACTTGAACACCCAGGCTCTTGTGGGAAGTCTATGACTTATTATTTCTAGGACCTGGTGGGAATATAGTAAGTGCTCAATAAATATTTGTTGAAGGAAAAAAAAAAGGAAGGCTGCATTAAATTTGAAGATATTTCTTAGATGAGCTGTGAATGTTACTTGTCATCCCAGGTATTTCTTTTTTTGTCTAATACCCCTACATAAATCAAACACCCACTATCCCAAGGAAAGAACACTTCTGTTGTAGAAAGGGCAGCAGATAATGAGCCCTGGCCTCATTCACCCCCTCTCTCTCTCTACACACACACACACACACACATACACACACACACTACACACACACACCTTAAGAGTTTGTTATCACCAGGCATGGTGGCTCACGCCTGTAACCCCAGCACTTTGGGAGGCTGAGGAGGATGGATCCCCCAAGGTCAGGAGTTCAAGACCAGCCTGACAAACATGTTGAAATGCAGTCTCTACTAAAAACAAAAAAAATTAGCTGAGCGTGGTGGAGCACGCCTGTAATCCCACCTACTTGGGAAGCTGAGGCAGGAGAGAATCACTTGAATCTGGGAGGTGGAGGTTGCAGTGAGCCAAGATCGTGCCATTGTACTCCAGCCTGGGTAACAAGAGCAAAACTCTCTGAAAAAAAAGAGTCTGTTCTCTCATGTTGATCCTAGTTTTCATTACTTATAAAGGAATGATATTGTTTCAACTGTGTCTTCCATTTTTCCAGAGGCAGGTGTTAATTCCAAGAGTGAGGGCATTCCCTCTTCTCTTTGCCACCCTTCTTTGCTCTCCCACCTCATAGCTGTATCTGAATTTGTACAAATTGTGACCCTCAGCTCGGTGTGCTCAGTGCTGAGACATTTCTCAACAGGAAAGAACAATTCAAAGGAAATGGTGTTGGCTGATAAGGGACCCAGTGATTATTGGCAAAAGTCCTCCAATCTCAAGCTGTTTTCCTAATTAACTAGTCCCTCTTTCCTTAAACTGCTGCATCTTCCAACTTTTTGTGATAGCTAATTCATTAAGAGGCAGAATCCAGAGAGAAGGCCTTTAGACTTTCCTCAAAACGACTCAGTTTAAAAGCAAATAGGTGAAGGATTAACAGAAGGTTCAAGTTTCATTAAGTAGATGTGTTGATGTTACCGGAAAGTAAAGTGCAGAGGGCTGAGTCTTCCATCCTTTGGAATAGAGCATCGCCCATAATGAATTCTGAACAGCATCACTTTCAACCCTGCGATATTTCATTCATTGATTTTACTGTCAAATGAAAAGGCACTGGTTCCAAATGGCATTTAGTGAGACAGATGGGGAGTGACCCAGGCTTCATTACTTGGCTGTTGCTCTCTAATTTTAATGCTACAGGGGTGGAAAGCAACAGAGGCGCTGGCTGCTCCGGCTCTAACATCTGGAATTGCTTTGGTTTTTGTCCATGTTACCAAAACTTGGCTCTTCAGCCCCATCTGTCTTTGGAAATTGGCAGAGCTCAGTCTACCTTAGATGCCAGTGGAGTGCCTGACCAAGCTTCTCTCCTGTCATTCTGAGGCTTTGAGGGGCTCATTTGAGGCTGTGACCTCAATGTTCGGGCAAATCTTGCTAGCTGTGGCAGAAGACGAGCAATCTGAAAGGAATGCAGATCTTGAAGGTAACATCTGGAAGCAACCTGTCATGTTTCCTAGGATGGGGTAATGCTAATCAACAGCGTTGATGAGCGCATGGAACACCAACAGCCTGGTCTCTGTTTTGATCTTGTGACTCTTTGATCAGAGCATTCATTCCTTTGTTGAGGACTCTCCAAATCAATGTCTCTGCACAATTCACCCCTCTCAAGCCTCAGCTGAGTTTTGGCCCCATATCACCAATTCTACCCCAGGCATCTCAACTAGGCTGTCACTCAAAGTTAACATGAAAAAAACCCATTGATCTGGGTGCAGTGATGCCTCTAGTCCCAGTCCCTTGGAAGACTGAGGCAGGAGGATCACTTGAGTTCAGGAATTCAAGGTCAGCCTGGGCAACACAGCAAGCTCCCATCTCCTTTTAAAAACACAAATAAACAAACCCCAACATCTAATTTTTCTATTATAGTCACCATCTTTAGGCAGCACATTCTGGAGTCTCAAATCCCATTACTTATCAACTTCTGATCAATAATTCCTTTGGCAAAAAGGAGGACACAAAATCAAAACATTTATTGAATATTTCCTAGGAACACAAGATCTGCATACATCTATTTTATTTTTCCCAGCGGCTCTCTGAGATACATATATTAATCCCCGTTTGTATGGATTAGGAAACTGAAGTTGACAGTTTAAGCTACTTGTCCTAGGGCACACAGCTAGAATACGGTAGAGCCACGATTCAAATCCAGGTTTGTCTGACTTCAAAGTCCTGTTATTTTCATCACACAAAGCTGCCTCCCCAAAAGTCTCATGGAATCTCCCCCCTATATTCCACAGCAGACTCCCAAATCTCCATCAGTATTTGCCTCCGACTTACACCTTTTCACCAACTTATACCATTGCCAGGTCAATCTTCCTGTAACACCACACTCACCATACCTCGGGAGCTGCAAGTTTCATTAATTAAAAATCACAGAATTAGTCAAAAGGGCTATTATTAAAAAGTAAAAAAATAACAGATGCTGGTGAGGTTCTGGAGAAAAGGGAATGCTTATACACTGCTGGTAGGAATGTAAATTAGTTCAGCCACTGTGGAAAGCAGCTGGGCAATTTCTCAAAGAAATTAGAACTACCATTCAACCCAGCAATCTCATTATTGGGTATATACCCAAAGGAGTAGAAACAGTTCTATCATAAAGACACATGCACACATAGGTTCACTGCAGCACTATTCACAATAGCAAAGGCATGGAATCAACCTAGATGCCCATCAACAGTAGACTGAAAAAAGAAAATATTGTACATACACACCATAGAATACTATGCAGTCATAAAAAAGAACAAGGTCATGTCCTTTGCAGCAATACGGATGGAGCTGGATGCCATTATCGTAAACACACTAACGCAGGAACACAAAATGTTTACCTCCAATAAGTGAAAACCAAACACTGAGTTTACATGAACACAAAGAAGAGAACAGAAAACTAGGCCCACTTGGGTGTGGAGGGTGGGAAGAGAATAAGGATAGAAAAACTATCTATTGCCTGTAATCCCAGCACTTCAGGAGGCCGAGGTGGGTGGATCACTTGAGGTCAGGAGTTCGAGACCAGTCTGGCCAACATGGTGAAACCCCCTCTCTACTAAAAATACAAAAGAAATTAGCTAGGCATGGGGGCATGCACCTGTAATTCCAGCTACTCGAGAGGCTAAGGCAGGGGAATTGCTTGAGCCTGGGAGGTGGAGGTTGCAGTCAGCCAAGATCGCACCACTGCACTCCAGCCTGGGCGACAGAGTGAGACTCCATCTTAAAAACAAAAAACAAAAAACAAAAAACAAAAAACCATCTATTGGGTGCTATGTTTACTCTTTTTTTTTTTTTTTTTTTCTGACACGGAGTCTCGCTCTGTCACCCAGGCTGGAGTGCAGTGGTGCGATCTTGGCTCACTGCAAGCTCCACCTCCCGGGTTCACGCCATTCTCCTGCCTCAGCCTCCCGAGTAGCTGGGACTACAGGCTCCTGCCACCACGCCCGGCTAATTTTTTGTATTTTTTAGTAGAGATGGGGTTTCACCACGTTAGCCAGGATGGTCTTGATCTCCTGACCTTGTGATCCACCCGCCTCAGCCTCACAAAGTGCTGGGATTACAGGCATGAGCCACTGGGCCTGGCCTACTATGTTTACTCTTTGGGTGACAAAATAATCTGTACACCAAACCCTCATGACATGTAATTTACTTATATCACAAACCTACACATGTACCCCTGAAACCAAAATAAAAGTTAAATACATCATGGCATTATTATTGAACTCTAAAAAGGCAGACAAGCCCTCTCTTGCTGTGGCTTCAACCCTAAACTCCTTGGCTTGGCTTCAACCTGCCACACAACTTTCAAGTGAACATTTATGATGTATTTACTCTATTTCAGGTATTGGGAATAATAAACAGGAATGAGCAGTCTTTGCCCTCAAAGATCTTAGAATCTATTCCTTTTGCTCCACGTTCTCCTCTCTGTCAAAACACACCAGTGCATGCTGTCCTGACAAGCCTGGTCTCTTAACTGAAGCCTCTCAGCCCCGTGTGGGCACATGCTCTCCCTCACCTCCCCGGAAGGGCCCCTCATTCCTCTCGTCCATAAGCTGCCCTCACCTTGTGAGTTCCACTTCCTCTACACGGACCTTGACCTCTTCGTGGGGAGCACTTGCTTCTCTGAATGCAGGTCCCCATTCTGGTCTGGCCCACACCATCTAAGGTTTCATTTAGATTCAGTTCAAATGCCTCCTCTGAGTAAAAGGCAGTGTAGTCTCATAGAAACACCATGCATGAATCTGAGAGAGCTATTTTACAGCGTGGGACCTTAACCAAATCTAAGTCTCCCTGAGCCTCAGGTTAGACTTCTGTCAAATAGGGATATTAAGTTGGTTGTTGTGAGGACCATATATGATAATGTTTGTAAAATGACTTATAAACGTTGTAGGACTGATGAAACTTAATAGTCTTTCTTCTTCTTCTTTTTTTTTTTTTTTTTTGAGAGAGTCTCGCTTTGACTCCTAGGCTGGAGTAAGGTGGCGTGATCTCTGCTCACGGCAACCTCTGCCACCTGGGTTCAAGCAATTCTCATGCCTCAGCCTTCCAAGTAGCTGGGGTTAAGGGCACACACTACCATGCCCAGCTCATACTTGTATTTTTAGTTGAGATATATTTTTAGCAGAGATTTTTAGCACCACGGTGGCCAAGCTGGTCTCGAACCCCTGACCTCAAGTGATCTACCCACCTTGGCCTCCCAAAATGCCAGGATTACAGGCATGAGCCACCACACTCAGCCCAGTCTTTCTTCTAACAACAAGATATTGATTCTGGAAAGCCCCGAACAACCCCACAAAGTACAAAAACAACTATAATAATAATACCTCTTATTATAACTGTTGCTTTTATGTGCAAAGCATCTGCTCAATTTTCCGATGTGGCTCTTCACTAATTTCTTATGGTCTCTTCTCTCTCATCATGAATTTTTTTGTATTTTATTTATTGCTTATTTCCAACTCTTGTGCCCCACCCAAAATAATGCCAATATGGACCATGCTGAATAACTGGTTGGGACCAAACACAGGGCTGCCCAGGAAACTCTTCCACTCAGAGAGGTGTAGGCCTTAGCTCCTCCCCAGGTGCCAAAGTACAAAAAGAGGCTGAAAGCACTGGGCTGATCTTATGATCAATAAAAGATAAGTGGGAGAGGCCAGGCGCGGTGGCTCACCCCTGTAATCCCAGCACTTTGGGAGGCCGAGGCGGGCGCATCATGAGGTCAGGAGTTCTAGACCAGCCTGGCCAAGAGACCAGCCTGGCCAATATGGTGAAACCCCGTCTCTACTAAAAATACAAAAATTAGCTGGGCGTGGTGGCGGGTGCCTGTAATCCTAGCTACTCGGGAGGCTGAGGCAGGAGAATTGTTTGAACCCGGGAGGTGGAGGTTGCAGTGAGCTGAGATCACACCACTGCACTCCAGCCTGGGTGACACAGTGAGACTCTGACTCAAAAAAAAAGAGTAGAGCCTCAGTGGAGAGCCAGGGGAGACAATGGGAAGACCATCCAATCAATTCAGTTACAGCTGGAGCTGAGCAGGCAATCCTGATTTAGTGCCATGGGTTAACTTTGAGCTGATTCTCCTGGTTGGTTTCATATTTTCAAGCATACTTTAAGGTCTTTGGAGGCAAAGATGGCAGTTACCTGCAGACCTTCCCAAGCACTTTGCAGGATGTTATACACAGAGAAAATGTCAACAGTTTGTACTGATGAAGGAGACAAAGAGAGAGACAGGCATGCAGAGGGAGAGGAGATAAAGAAAAAGGGATGCCAGAGAAAGGATCTTACTGTTGCTTACCTCTTTTTGAGTATTTCTTTCTTTTCAAATATCTAGTATAGTGGTTTCCAATGAGAGCAGGACTGATTCCTAGTGGGGTATTTTGGAAACCTCTGCAGGTGTTTTTTGTTGTTGCTATAATTAGAGGATGCCATTGGCTAAATTTAGAGGTGAGGTCAAGGGATGATCAACATTCTGCACTCTACAGGGAAATTCCACACCACACACAATAGTCCCTTGCCTCTCATGACTTTCAAATGTCTCAGCAGATAGTCATTTTAGTGAAAAAGACGTCAATAAGCAGCTATGTATAAAATCTAAACCACATTTTACATTTAAACTCTGAGTGTTTCTGCACATTTTAATATGTGCTGAGTTTTCTAGCAAAGCATCTACCATGTAAATTGAGGGAAGATCGTACTCCACTTTGTTTGGAATTTTACCAAGAGCTGCTCGTCATTTTGTAAAGTAATGATACCAGTAGCAGTGCTGCTGGCAGCATCTGAGTCATCAAACGATGCACCTGTATCTTTCTGCATTTGTAGCTGTCATGTGTAAAGGAATTCTGTTGATGCCTGCACAAGATCATTTCGTCCTGTCTTCTAGAGCACTGGGGTGGTCAAATATCTTGGCTTGCCTGGGACTGAGGGGTTTCCTGAATGTAGAACTTTTAATGCTAAAATTGGGAAAGTTCCAGGCAAATGAGGATGAGCGAGCCACTCTACTGAGTATTAACATATTGAGATGCATGATACTTTCAAAATGATACAACCTACACTTTTTCATATCTCTCTTTTTTTTTTTTTCTTTGAGATGGAGTTTCACTCTTATTGCCCAGGCTGGAGTGCAATGGCGTGATCTTGGCTCACTGCAACCTCCGGCTCCCAGGTTCAAGCCACTCTCCTGCCTCAGCCTCCCAAGTAGCTGGGATTAAAGGCACCCACCACCATGCCCGGGTAGTTCTTTTTATTTTTTATTTTTTTTATTTTTTTGAGACGAAGTCTCACTCTGTTGCTCAGACTGAAGTGCAGTGGCACTATCTCGGCTCACTGCAACTTCTGCCTCCCGGGTTCAAGTGATTCTCCCGCCTCAGCCTCCTGAGCAGCTGGGACTAGGGGCACATGCCACCACCATGCCCAGCTAATTTTTGTATTTTTTTAGTAGAGACGAGGTTTCACCCTGTTGGTCAGGCTGGTCTTGAACTCCTGACCTCGTGATCCACCATGCCCAACCAATTTTTTGTATTTTTAGTAGAGGTGGGGTTTCACCACGTTGGCTAGGCTGGTCTCGAACTCCTGACCTCAGGTGATCCACCACCTTGGCCTTCCAAAGTGCTGGGATTACAGGCGTCAGCCACCGAGCCCAGCACTTTTTCATACCTTCTACATACACAAGGTGCTGGGCATATGAAAAGTGATGGAAAAAAATATTAAATGAATGGGAGAAGAGGGAGAGAAAAAACAGGCCATTTTCTCAGAGTTGCTAAAATTAATTCTGTTCTATGAGTATGCGACTTTCCAGAAATGTGCAGCTGATACCAAGGCACACCTTCTCACCATCCCACAGTTTGAAGACATTTCATATTCTTATATTTTCTGCAAAGTATTCTCCAAAACATCTTTGGAGGGGAAAGGAGGTTGGTCTGCCTTCTGAAAAGGAATCATGATATCACAGGATCACATATTTCACAGGAACTTCAAGGTTACTAAATCTGGATAATCTTTTTCACTCAAAGGGCCTCAAACATATATTGTTGGCCAATGTATCTAGTCTTTTATTTTTATTTATTTATTTATTTATTTTTTGAGATGGAGTTTCACTCTCGTTGCCTAGGCTGAAGTGCAATGGTGCAATCTCGGCTCACTGCAACCTCCGCCTCCCAGGTTCAAGTGATTCTCCTGCCTCAGCCTCCCAAGTAGCTGGGATTATAGGCATGCACCACCATGCCTGGCTAATTTTCTGTTCTTAGTAGAAATGGGGTTTCACCATTTTGGTCAGGCTGGTCTCGAACTCCTGACCTCAGGTGATCCACCTGCCTCGGCCTCCCAAAGTACTGGGATTACAGGCATGAGCCACTGTGCCCGGCCTAGTCTGTCTTTTAAAAGGCAATACAACTAGACAGGTGCTGTGCTTGGTGACAATGGTAGAGACATGGCGCTTACCCCCTTATGCCTGGCACGCTTTGCATATTGACACTGCCTGCCTTCCACCTGCATACATGTGAGTCTGAGACCTCACTGTTATCAGGACACAAATCACCTCTGGAGTTTTGATAAGTCATCCGGAGCCTCACCTTGAACATCTGCTTTGACATAATAAGGAATAACTGGGAAACAGTTCTCTTTTTGATTCATTTGTGGTCACAAGAGGAAACCAACCACAGCTTACAGGAAAATAAGGAGTGTGGAAAAAGAGTGGGGTGCTGTGGGCTAGCTGATGTCCCCAGAGAAAACTCAGCTGTCAGCAAGATGGCAATGCTCCTGCATCCAAAACACAGCTGCTCATCTGTAATCTTGAGGCAATTTTGTTCAGGGGATAACTGGCTGAAAAGAAGAGAGCTGAAGTGAGAGGCCAGGAACTTGTTTCTGACAGTAATATCAGAAGATAAGGAGATGGAATGCCCTCTTTTGTCAAACTGCACCTCTTTTCACTCCACCATCTACAGGACATGCACCAGGGAGGGGGAGCCAGGCTGAATTTGGGGACAGGGAATGGCATAGTCTACTCACTGGAACAGAGTCTTTGTGTTTAATATGAGGGGTTTAGAAGCTTTTTCAGGAATCTTGCCTAATCCCATATAGAAGATGAATACTGGGGTGGGACTACCAGGGTTTGAATCTCTGTTTCATCTCTTCCTATTTGCATCACTTTACCAGTCAAAGGCAAGTTGCATATCTCTTAATTGGTCTCCTTATTTGTTAAATAAGGATGATAATAATAGGATTTATGTGATAGAGATGGTTATGAAGACAAACTGAAGGAGATCAAGGTAGAGAAAATGTTTAGACCAGTTCCTAGTACCTACTTGATAATCAGCATCAGTGAGTCATATTTATTTATTTATTTATTTATTTATTTATTTATTTATTTATTTATTTATTTTGAGATGGGGTTTCGCTCTTGTTGCCCAGGCTGGAGTGCAATGGCATGACTTAGGCTCACTGCAACCTCCGCCTCCCAGGTTCAGGGGATTCTCCTGCCTCAGCCTCCCAAGTAGCTGGGATTACAGGCATGCACCACGACACCTGGCTAATTTTTTGTATTTTTAGTAGAGACGGGGTTTCTCCAAGTCGGTCAGAGTGGTCTCGAACTCCCGACCTCAGTTGATCTGCCCCGCCTCAGCCTCCCAAAGTGTTGGGATTACAGGCGTGAGCCACCGCACCTGGCCTAACTCATTATTTTTTTCACAGCTTTATTGAGATATAATTAGCATACTGTACAATCAGCCATTCTTTTTAACCATGTCTGCTGCCCAAACACCATCCAGAGCCCCTAATTTGGATAGGTGTTATTAGAGAATATTGTCTGTGAAAGGAAAATAAATCTTGGGACCCCAAAATCACTAAGCCAAAGATAAAAGTCAAGCTGGGAACTGCTGGCAACTGCCTCAGGCAAACCTGCTTCCCATTATATTCCTAAATAAGATAGCTACAAAGATTTTAAAAAGAAAAAACAAAAGCTACGTATCTTCCTCACAATTTGGCCACAAGGAAATTCCCTGTGAAACTCAATATCTTTATTCTAAAACAATTCTGCTGAACTTCACCTGGCAATGTAAATTGATAGCTGATTAGCTGATCTTCACAGGTGTGGGACAGACAGTCCTCCCTCTGCTCACCTGAGACAAACGCATACCTGGATTGCTTCCTCTGCCCTATTTATGTAAAAATGCAGATTCATTGAGCCAGACTAAGGCAAAAGTGACTATTTCTCCACCACTCTTCTCACTGTAAATTGTGTGTTCAGTGAATGGATGATCAAAGACTCAAAAGAATGCAACCCTTTGTCTCTTATCTACCTATGACCTGGAAGCTCCGCCTACTACTTCGACTTGTCCCTCCTTTCTGGACCAAACCAATGCACATCTTATACATATTGACTGATGCATCACGTCTCTGTAAAATGTATACAAGCAAGCTGTCTCCTGACCACCCTGGGGCACATGTCTTCAGGACTTCCTGAGGCTGTGTCATAGGCATGTCCTTAACCTTGGCAAAATAAACTTTCTAAATTGATTGAGACTGCTCTCAGATACTTTGGGTTCATATGTCCTTTAAATGAAGTAACATTTCCTTTTTGGTTCTCTTCCCTATCCCACTGCACCCCGCCCCCCAGCCCAAAGAATACTAGGTATTAACTACACCCAAAAGGTGCTCTCCAAAGGTATACATTCATGACCAGATCATAAGCAAGGAGGGCAGAAGCAGAGAAACTCAAACGGCGATGTCAGAGTGTGGATAACTAACATTAGCAGAACGTGCACACAGGACCTTTTCATGCACGCAACATGCAGCTTCGGTGACATGACTCGGATGTGAGTCATGAGGTGCTGCCCTGCGATTCTTCGGCTCGGTGACAATTGCTGGAATCGAAGGACAGTGGGGAGCCTTCTGAGCCTGTCACAGTGCTCTTTTCTCAGGTCACAGAAATAACTTTCCTGGGAAAAGTTTCCAAAGAGATGAAAAAGAAACAGCTCAGAGCTGCGTGGCGGCTCACCGCTAAGTTTTCAAAGTGCCACTGGTGACAAGAAATTCTGGGAGGAATGTTCTCAGAAAAAGCCCCACCTGGGGCGTGAGAGACCCTGACACTTCATATGTACAGATTTCTTCCTTCTTAGTTGAATCAGGAGATCAAGTGACTATAATTACAGGCTGCAGCAAAAGCAAGGCCAGGCCAACGGGTCCCTTCCAAGAAAGGGTTTGCTGTCAGTTATAAGGAATGGGGAATTTTTCAATCTCTAAAGAACTCTTTGTTAAAAGTTTCTACTTGATAATTATGCCGTCTAAAGATGCTTTGTCAAAGTCCCTCTTTGTTTAGAAACTATGCTTGCTTGTTCTTTTGGGTTCAACAAAAGATCAGGGAAAAATGTGTCAATCTGTATTCCAAATAAGGTAAATGAAAACTGCCTGTCCTCATGGGACCTTAATTTCATGTCCAAGAAAAGTAGTAAAAGCGTTCAGAATACCCCCAAAGCTTGCCTGTGGTTAGACACAACTCCCCCCAGCCATGCACACACGCACCCCCACGTTCGCCACAAAATGCCAGTGAGCTCCGCCAGGTCTTAGAGCTCAGCTGAGTAATTCCACCTTCAAGCAATGGGTTAGAACCAGTATGGCTATGACCCAGGAAAGTACTAAGCATTGCAATTCATCGGTAACAGATGGAGAATTAAGGCCTTTGGTCACCATCAGTCTTTCGATGTCCTGCAAATTCCATTTCATTGCAGTAAAAATAGCCCAAGTGCTTGGATAAAGGATCCCTGACTGTCGCTGATCTAAAATACTCACCCTCTGCTGAAACCAAACCTCTTTCTACGTTTCTCAAATGGGCAGCATCTCTATTTGCATCTGAGTCACAGGTCTAACTCCTTCCTTTTCCTGGAAGCCCTCCTCTAACTCAATGGCTCTTTCCTCTACCTCTTCAGGGTTAAAGGTGAGCCCTATTTCACTCACCCACGCATAGGTTGATTAAGCTCTAATTATGTCAAGTTCAATGGGCACTGGGAGAGAGGAGGATAGGGCCCCATCTCTGCTCACAGTCCAGTCCAGAGGGAGCAATAACATGGACCACAGGGGCCATTCTCAGAGAAGAAGCTCATCAAATGCTTGGGAAATAAGCAATACTTTCCAAACGGGCTTCCACTGGACACCAGTGCCCTGAGCCACTGTGTGCCTGCCATAGTCTCTTCTTTGAGCTTCAAAACACATGGAAGTACACTGAAGGCTAAAGGAGCTCCAGGCTTAAACCAGTTTCACCCACAATCTCCCCAATGTATTTAGCCATGGAGGCTCTTTTGCCTAGAACACCTATTAACATCTTGTGTTCTGCAAAATAGTCTGGGAAACAACACCGCATTGCAAAGTAGGATGAAATAATGGCCATGAGAGAACTTCAAATAAAGAGCCAAAGGGCGAAACTTCCTCCATGCTGCTTTCCTAACTGCAGAAAGATGAAGAGGTCAAACAGATTTGTTTGGGAACTCAGTTTTGCCTTTTGCTATTTGCTACCTGTGACCTTGGCCAAGTCAATTAGCCCCTCTGAACCACAATTTCTTCATCTGTAAAAACATAATGAACTGTCACAGGATTTCTGTGTGAATTAAATGAGATAGCACATGAAAGCATCTGGCACAATGCCTAGGAGGAATCTAGTAGGTGCTCAATAAGCATTTCTTTCTTTCTTCTCTTAGTTCCACTGTGTTCCCGTAGCAGGGATAGTCCAAGTCCCTGATGTGGCACTTAAAGATGTGAGAGGGCATCGCTAACTATCTTCTCCAGTGGACAGATTTCCTAGAACATGGATGTTGGGTACCGGGGGACTTAGACCTTCCATTTAGCCCCCAGGATGGAGCAGGTGGCTCAACATGTAGTTGACACCAAGGATTTTTACTGTACAACAGCTTTTCCCCCAAGGAACCTCACCATTCATATGAGTGTTCCTGGTAGCAAGTGGCATCCTTTTTTGTTTAAGCCTGAATTCCTGAGGCCAACTTTCCTCCTGCAAGCAGGTGCCAACTTCCTCTGTGGCCAAGAGAAAGGTGCTCTCCAACTGGGGGGCGAGGTCTCCCATGCACCCCTTGATGCTGCCCTGGGGTTATGCCTGATGTTGCATTTACTAGACAGCCCTGACATTGTCCCATTCCCCTATTAGACCCTCTGCTCTTTCAGAACAGGAACATGGTCTTGTTTATTGGTATCCTCCAACACCTAGCACAGCATCTGGCACCTGATGAGCATTCAGCAAATGATGGGTGGATAAAATGAATGGATGACTGGATGGACTATTGGATGAACAAACAGAAGGAAGAGGGAAAGGGAAGGGAGAAAGGAAGGAAAGATCTGGTCTCAATTCCATGGGAAGATAAACTCCATAGAAACAGGGACTTTGTCAGTTATTTCTACAGTCAACAGGACTAGAACAGTGCCTGGCATATAACAGAAACTAAATCAATGTTTCTTAAATGAAAGGATGAATGACTGAATAAGCCAAGCTACTATTTGGAAAATTAGCAGTAAATAATTCCTACTCACCAACAAATCAAATTGCTCTGAGATTACTTCCTGATCTGTTTGTTCCCCACAATTACTAGAATATTTTAATATTTATGTAAATCAAAATGAGGGGCAAGGGATACTAACAAAAGTAATGACTTTTTTTTTTTTTTTTTGAGACAGAGTCTCACTTTGTCGCCCAGGCTGGAGTACAGTGGTGCAGTCTCAGCTCACTGCAACCTCTGTGTCCCAGGTTTAAGCAATTCTCGTGCCTCAGTCTCTCGAGTATCTGGGATTACAGGTGTGCACTACCACACCCAGCTAATTTTTGTATTTTTGGTAGAGATGGGGTTTCACCATGTTGGCCAGGCTGGTCTCGAACTCCTGACCTCAGGTGATCTGACTGTCTCCACCTCCCAAAGTGCTGGGATTACAGGCGTGAACCACTGTGCCCGGCAAGAATGCCTCTTATCGGTCAAGCAATGTACAAAGTTCAGTGACTACATCAAGACGCTGACCCTGCCCCCCAGGAGCTACTCAAAGCAACGGTGCCTAAACTGAACACAGAGAGTGAATGACAACCGAGGCGCAAGGAACAGGCACCCTGGACGGCTTCACGCAGACCTCGGAGCAGGGCTGCGCCATCCCAGCTAGAGTGTGTTCTGCTAGAAATACAGAGAGTGACAGTATCAATTAATCCCTTCATGATCCTAATGTCAGAAATGTAAGCCTTTTATGATGCAGTAAAACAATTTTTATGGGTTTTTCCATCCATCTCATGTCTTGATGTATTTTTTAATCAAAAAGGATAAGAACAAGAAGTCAAGCGGGTATAATCTCCTGCTCATTTCTCTGGTTCTCTGCCCAGGGAGGGGAGGTGAGCCCCGTAGAGGTTCCTGTGCTCCCAGGGAGTATTTTCCAGAAAGCAGCCTTCTTCCAGTAGAGGAGAACCAGGCCCTGCTTTAAGTAATGTATATATTCTCCAAGGGCTGCATGTAAATGAAATCTCAGTAAATCAAATTTCATGTTTCCAATAACTTTGGATGCATTTTATCTTTATTTCTGATGATAAAACAAAAAAAATTCCTTTCATAAAATGTGCACACTTGAAAAAACACAAAAAGAGTAAGTTACTTGCAATCTTATCACTTAGAGATAATTTTATAATGCAGTCTTAGACTTTTATTATGTGTTTAGATATACAGATATATTTTGACAAAAACAGGATAACGGTAGAATTACTATATAACCTACTTACTCTTAGCAGCTGTTCTATAAATACGTTATTAACATTTCCTCATGTCGACACTCCACATTTTATGTATGATTTCCATGTTATTCAATTGTATGGATATACCAAAATTTAACAACTTAAATTTAAATTTATCTGTTTTTGGAAGTTGCCTATGTTTTCAAAATTTCCTCATCATAAATAATACTAAAAGCTCCCTATTCTCATCTCTTATAATTTCCTGGAAATGAAATGGCTGTGTCAAATATATACATATTTTAAAACTTAGATACATACTTTAAAATTGCCCTGCAAAAAAAAAACGCTTTAGTGATTTATACTTCTTCCAGCAAGGAGAAGTATTTACATTTTTCATACCTTTATTATCATTGGCACTATAGATACACACACACACACACACACACACGTACACACACATTTTTTTTTTTTTAAGCACTGCCAGTGTTTAATTACTGCTTTGGTTTTCAATTTTTTGTTTACTTTGTGAAGTAGAGTTTTTTTTATGTGTTAAATGACTTATTTGGGTTTACTTCTTCAGTGGAGAACATTCATGTCTGTGGGCCATTATTTTTTTAAATGCTTTGTAGGAACATTTTACATATCGAAATACTGATCCATGATTTTTAATCTATGGTGCACATTTTTTCTAGAATAGTTTGTTTCAAACAAAAATTTAATGGTGTTTTGTTACCTCTTCTCATGCACCCTATGAATTTTTCATTTGTCTTCTTGTCAAACAGTACCAGTAAAGCCATACTAAAGCAGATAAGAGAAACACCACCATTCACGGCAGGTATATCACTAATTTTTCTGTTGGATGAGCAGAGATTTCATTCAAGGTGGATATTCCCCGGGTAAACCTTGCCCGTTAGAACAACTGCCAACATTCAAGGTGGATATTCCCTGGGTAAACCTTGCCCGTTAGAGCAACTGCCAACTGAAACAGAGGTTGACAGATGATGTAAAAATTGGTCATAAAGAGACCGGCACCAGTTCTCTTAGCAAAAGTCAGGCAGTGGCCACCTCATTTAGGACAATAAAATTTTGAGTGACATACAGGTCACAGACAGAGTCAAGAATCTGTAGTGAGGAAACCTGCATTAGAGTTTCCTTCTTTCCTACCTACCAGACAGTTAGGTCAACTTCTTTGATTTTCAGCTTTCTCACTACCTACCAGATATTATTACCATCATCATCATATCTACTGTACTCCACAAACTAGCTCTTAAATCTAACTGAAAGCACTTCTTGAACTGTTAAGTGTTATCAAAATGATTGCTACATTTTATGACCAATTTGAATCAGGAATTAGGTAGAATTATTTGGTTTGAGGTCAAAAGCAGGAGTCTTGGAAGTTGACTTGCAAGAAAGGTCATAACCTAGAAAAACCTCTCGGAGACTCTATCCCTCTTGCAATGGGTCGGTGATGGCTATAATATTAGCAAAGACAAGGTGTTGTTATTCATGCTTTTCTCCTCTTTCCTTTTTCCTTTCTTCTGTTTTTGTATTTCTCACACATTTATCGGGCATTAAGCCATGGTGTTCTATGCTGAGCCTTGTTCCAGTAACTGGGGGCTCAGGGTTGAACAAAACATAATAGGGATCCTCAAGGGACTCACAGTTTCTGGATTTGGAAAACTACTTCCTGCATGTTAAAGGCAGGTCTCACTGCAAGTTAAAAGAGCATCACACACTGGGGCCTGTCGGGAGGTTGGGGGCTAGGGGAGAGAGAGCATTACAAGAAATGCCAAATGTAGATGACGGGTTGATGGGTGCAGCAAACCATCATGGCACGTTCTGGCCATGGTTTGGCCACCTATGTAACAAACCTGCACGTTCTGCACATGTACCCCAGAACTTAAAGTATAATAATAAAAAAAAACACCAAACAATCCAATAATACTCTTTCAGTTATTTAAAAATGTACAATGAAATTATTATTGACTGTAGGCACCCTATTTAAAGAAAAGACTCTTGTCCCTATTGAGGTGTTGGGAAGCAAAATGGAAAGCTGGCTCCATAGTTCCTGGAAATGTCAAGAGTTTGAGCACTTGAGGCAGCTCCAGGAAGGTGGGGGTACAAATGGCACCTTCTCTACCTGATGCTGGGAAATCAGGAAAGCAGAGATTGCATGCGGGATGGACAGGACTTACGTGGCCTGGAAGCAAACCAACCAATGTAGCTCCGGAAACCTCTGCCGTGTATCTTCATTAGGTTGTAGTTATGTGTCTTGTGTTCTGTTTACTATTATCGTTTTCTTCCACCTCCTTTCTACTTGTAAAATTTCAATCTTTTCAAAAGTCTTGGCTGGCCCGCCTTCCATTTGGTTCACACTTGAGTGACAGCACTAAGGGTTACATAGCATCATCCGGAGGCTCGGCAGACAGGCCTCACCAGAGAAGGTCATATTCAGAGGACCCCAATACGGGCTTTCATCCAGCTCTCTCTCTTAGAGAGGAAGGTATTTTTACTTCCAGAGCCACTCTGGAGATCCAAGATTTCATTTTATTAATGGAAATGCTTCCCCTTGCAACCATCAGTCCACCAAAGCTTGGAAACACACTGATATTGGGGGCAGAGGTAGTGTCATGCAAAATTAGCTATTGAGTTCCCATGTCCAGAGGACTGAGAGGGTGATGGTGAACAGATAGGGACAGAAAGGACAGAGGTAAAAGAGCAAGGGCAGTGAAGAGGCAGGTTAAAGATGGTCAAACAGCAGCTCTAGGCATTTAAGGAAAGAAACAGGTGAGTGTGGGCAAGGAAGTAGCCAAGGGGAACGAAATAGGAGGGGTCGGGCTGCATTAATGAATGCTAGTAATGATCGCTGATGCTCTTAATTATAACCACAGGGCACTGAAGATCCTGCCTCGTTAAAGGACGATTAAATTATCTTCACTCTGTTAAACTGATGGAGGCAGGAAAGTGGGCCACTGGCTTGTAGAATTTTCTACAGAAACAGGGATGAAAGAATTGGAGATCTGGAAGGAGTGGCATGCTAGGGTGGAGAATCCTGTTCCCCAAGGCCCCTGTTCCCCATGCATCTCATCAGCCTGCTGCTGGGCATGGCCTGGCAGCAGAGGCGGTCAACACCATCCTTTGGAAGGTGAGATGCGTGACCTTGACGGCCGGAAGTTTAGACTTTCTGGGAATCCTTGAGCATACGGGGTGCGGACAGTGAAAAGCCGCGACACGGGCCTCATTGCTACAAATACATTTATCTACCCGGGCTGTACACGTGACACCTTCTAAAGCTGCACCTCACCAAATACACAAAGAGCCTGGGACAACAGACACCTTGGGGAAGAGTTTGATGTTCCTGGGTTTAAAAAATTCGTCAGCTACAGTTCTAATGTTCCTCTCACTTCATCACACAATCTTTCTTGATAAAATCAATATTTATGGGGCTAGGTGCTATGGGTGATTCAAAGAAAAATGAGCCAGATCTCTAACCTTGAGGAGTTTCAATGTAATGATTATATAAGAATCTTTCTTATTCTAAAACCAATGTCATCATGATTTAAATGCAGCAACAGGACTTATCCAATAAATCTTACTGTGAATCATACTTGGAAAGAGAATAATGTTTCTGGAAAACAAATGTTAAAGGATGATCAATTTCCTCTTTTCCCATCTTCTTAGAGTTTCTGCATCTTAAAGTGAGAGCTATGTTACAGAACAGTTTGCAAGAAGGCTTTGAAGGGCTGTGACTCTTTCTGGAGATCAGAGCTTCAAAACTAGAATTCTGGCCTCCATGACAGAGGTGCTTCCACGACAGGAGAGCGCTGGGTTCTACTGCCTTGCTGACTTTAAGTTAAGAGTCAATTAATGGTTGCTTTTACTTTGTCTCCTCCAAACTGTTTTGCGCCCATCCGCCAACAGGTGCAGCATCAGGACTAAAGCCATGCCCCCGGTCTGGTTATTCCTGTTCAGCTTCTCTTCCTCTTCACATCCTCTGACCTCTCTTACCCATTCTTCCTTATTGTCATTTTTGTGACACTATTGCCACAATTGTCACTATTGTCACTTATTGTCCTAGAGTGATATCCACTCACCCAAAGTAAATAATGAGGTGGTTTTTTTTTTTTTTTTTTGAGACAGAGTCTCGCTCTGTTGCCCAGGCTGGAATGCAGTGGCACGATCTTGGCTCACTGCAACCTCCAACTTCAGGGTTCAAGAGATTCTCCTGCCTCAGCCTCCTGAGTAGCTGGGATTACAGGTTCCCACCACCACGCCCGGCTAATTTTTTGTATTTTTAGTAGAGACTGGGTTTTGCTATGTTAGCCAGGCTAGTCTCGAACTCCTTAGCTCAGGCAATGTGCCTGCCTTGGCCTCCCAAAGTGCTAGGACTACAGGCATGAGCCACCGCGTCCGGTCTGAGTCTTTTTTTTTTTTTGAGACAGAGTCTTGCTCTGTCGCCCAGGCTGGAGTGCAGTGGCACGATCTGGGCTCACTGCAACCTCTGCCTCCCAGGTTCAAATAATTCTCCTGCCCCAGCCTCCCGAGTAGCTGGGATTACAGGCACGGGCCACCACACCCAGCTAATTTTTGTATTTTTAGTAGAGACCGGGTTTCACCATGTTGGTCAGGCTGGTCTTGAACTACCGACCTCAGGTGATCTGCCACCCCCTCGGCCTCCCAAAGTGCTGGGGAGTTCATTTTTTTAAATAAAAAAAGGAATACATATTCCTTGCAGGAAATTTAGGAAATAAAAATATGCAAACTAGAAATAACTGTAATCCCATTAACTAGAGATTGGGATGGTTAACATTTTAGTGAATATTCCATGACTTTCTGTCACTTAGACGTTGTTTTTTAAACTCTTGTCCTGATTTCTACCAAATTAGGTTCCAAGTTAGATCATCCCCCAAATTCAACCATCAGTTCCAATGCCACATTATCCGTGAGGCTACTCTGATCCACACCCCCTATTTAACACAGTATCACCTCTCCCCTCACACTCTCAACCGCACTTACTCAGCTTTATTTTCCACCATGGCTCTTATCACCATCTGACATACTATATATACATTTATGTATTTCCCCAGGGGAGAATATAAGCTCCAGGTGGGCAGAAATTTTTGTCTGTTTTGTTTGCTGCTACACCTCTGAGGCCCAGGGATACATACGCCCTGATTATCTCAAGAAGAGCAGGTGCTTCTCTTTCACAACAGTAAATAACTCTTAGAGACAAGGACCATCGCTCAGGACAATGGCCTTGCAGATGTGCTCCCTGGCACTTCTGCCAGCAAAGGGGAAGAAGAGGAAAGATATTCTGAGACTTGGCTCTCGTGTCAGCTCTGCTGCTAACTCTCTGGGTGATCCAGGGCATGTGGCTTGCCCACTCTGAGCCTCAGTTTCACACTGATAGAAATGAGAGGGCTGGGTGTGGGTGGTGCCTGAAGGCGCTTCCATCTCTTTGTTCGAAGAGATCATACAGCCTCTACAGAGAAGACAGCATGAAGTTCCTGGGGCTCTAGACCAAAGCCACGGAAAGCAGAATCTGATCACCTATCCCTCCTTCCACTGGTGCAGGACTTGACAGTTTACAAAGTGCTTTTGCTTTCTCATTAAGTTTATCAATTGGCTAATCAGCACAGGAATCTCAAACAGAGCATCAACATCAAGCATGGAAAGCACCTAAAATGGCATGGCAGAGTCAGCAGGACTAAACAGAAGAGACAGAGAGAGAGACAGAGAGAGAGAGAGAGGAGAGCGCACACCAGGGAAAGACTGAGGAAATCCATTGGGGAAATTAACTGCAACTTCAGAGAGAAAGAGAAAAAAAGAGCACCAAAAGGCAGGGGAGTTAATTTTCACAGAATTCATCTAAATCTTATTTAAATACCGCTTTGGCAACTGTCACACTTCATGAATCCAATGGGAATTACACAATCCACTGTTGATCTAGTCATCTTCATTGACTCCTGGTGCTTTCTCCATGTCCCTCTGATGGAGAGAGGGGACCTGCATGAGTGTCTCCGGCTCTCATCCCCCAAACTTGGCTTGAAGATTGCAGAATCCTCAGAAATCTGAGGCTGAAACTTCTGCAACACATTTAGAAGAATATATCTAGGTCTCTATCAAATCTGTTTACTGGGTTATATAACTGTGCTCTTATTGTAATTCTGTGACTTTTATCAAAAGGCTAGATCCAAATTGCGGACACAAATATTCCTTTTTACATTCGCTCTGGATGAGTGACTGCAGCCTAAGTCTATTCTCTAGCCCTTTTGGATTGCTGCAAGCTTGCAGGAGCAAGCTTCCCGCCCCAACAAACCCCTTAAGAAGGAATGTGCTTCAGGGCAACAGTAAACTTATGCTTATCAAATTATTCATTCATTCACCTGTTCATCCATCTGACGGATAATTACTGAGCCTGTACCATCAACAAGACACTGATTCAGGCAATCGGGATAAAGAGTCTATTCAAACTGGTGAGACAGATGCAATTCACTAGCATCAGGAGTTGGAAAGCTGCTTCCTGTCCTCATCACAGGTCTGCTGAATTCCCTGATCTCCACTCCATGTTGGTGATGAAAATCACCAATTCCTCTTGTTCTGATTGGCATCAGTCTAACGGGTTTCTTGACAGCAGCCTAAGGTCCTTCTCCCCAGTATCTACTCCTCTGCTTGCTTTTCTGGCTCATGAGTTTCTCAAGGCAGGACCTTTGGAGAGCCCTTCAGTTGTAAAGGCATTTCCTCCAGCTGCCAAGCTGGGTAATCAGAGAAAGTGCCTATCCATCTCGCAGGGTCAGTAGACTTACTGATCAAGAAAGACGAAGAACCTGCCACAAAGGATGCAGAGCCTGTGCTGTTGTTGAGATGGCCTCCTTTAGCTGAGTAAGAGGATAAAACTCACTGAAATCTAGAAAATAAGACTGCTTCTTGGCCTGGTGTACTGGAAAGCACACACCGACATGGGCAAGGAAGCTCTGTTCTGCTGCTCACTGACGGCAAGACCTCTTGGGCACTTGATGTTGAAACTCTGAGCTTCTGTTTCCCTATCTGCAAAGTGGAGATCATGTTATCTCCCTTTAAGCCTGCCATGAATATTAAATAATTGTTATCATTTATTAAGCATTAACTAGAAGCCAGGCAGTGTGTGAAGCAGCTTATCAACCACAATCTTATTTAATTCAATTGTGCTACTCATGTTAGCCTCAGAGTAAAAGTACTGGGGAGGAATTTTGCCATTTGTTTCCCAGAAAAGAGGTTTTCTATAGTTCTGGGGTCAAACACTTTGCTGGTGCCCAAAGGACTTGGTGAAATTTCAAACACCGTTGACTTCCAAATGTCTAGAATTGTGCTTGTTGAACACAGTAGCCACTAGCCACATGTGGCAATTTAAATTTAAATAATTAATCAAACTCGGATTAAATTAAAACTCAGTTCTTTATTCATGCCAGGCACATCTCCTGTGCTCAGTGACCACATGGTAGTGGTTACCATACCAAAGAGTGCAGATGTAAAACATTTCCATCAGTCCAGAAAGTTATGTTGGACAGAGCTTAGGGATGGAAAATAAGACATGGGAGGAGAAATAAGAGAAAAGTGAACAACAGGGCAAGAGAGTCAATTCCATGGAGGTTTGTAAAATAAAATGTTGGCATGTTTTCAATAATTTTTCATGGTTAACAGAGTGAGGCTGTTCTCATTTTGGGGCTGTCTTAACAAGTACTTTCTGGGGTATTTGGATGGTTTTACAGGACAGCTTTAGTAGCTATGGTTACTAACAGTTCAGCACCATTCAGAAGTATTATATTTTACTAATAAGTAAAGATAAAAATAAAGACATTAAAAAGTCATACAGAATCCATTCCCTTAAGCCAAATGGCTCACCTACTATCATTTGCCCTGACAATACTAATTCTGATAACCTAGCACTTAAGGAAGAGTTTCCCAAAAATAAATCATGCGCTAATCATCATAATCTGGGGAAACGCTTTGTAATATTCCAAGATGCAAGCAGTCATCATTCTAGACATAACCTACCTCTCTAAATCTCCCTGGGGCCACACCAAATGCTCCTTGCGAAGTGCAAATGTAATCACAACACCCAACTTGAAAAACTTCACAAAGCACTCCTTTCCCTGGAGTACCTATCAAAGTCTTTGTCATGACATATGATCCCCTTCACAACCTAACTGTAGTTTACCACCTCCTCCTCTCTGCTCAGTCCACCAGCAGTAGTCTCATTTGGTCATTCATTCATTCAACAAATGTTTATTAAGTGCTTCCATGTCTACATATGATGCTAGGTGCTGAGGCTACAGAGGTGAAGACAAGAGAATGCAAAGTCAGATGCCTATCCTCGTGGAGCTTATACTGTAGCAGGAGAAAACAGGCAGCAGAAAAGTAAATATTTAAGATACATAATGACAAATGGTGATAGGTGCTACGAAGATCACAAAATGTGTGGTCGTGGAGGGAGAGGGAAGAGGGCAACTTTCTTTATATTTAGATGTTACCTTCCCAGGTCTTTTCAAACTGTCAATCATTCATTCAAGAAATTTTTATTGAACACTTCACTATGCGCAGGGCAGTGTTCTGAGCACTGGGGTGAGGACAATGATATGGTCTGGCTGTGTCCCCATCCAAATCTCATCTTGAATTGTAGCTCCCATAATTTTTATGTGTTGTAGGAGGGACCCAGTAGGAGATAACTGAATCATGGAGGTGGTTTCCCCCATACTGTTCCTGTGGTAGTGAATAAATCTCACCAGATCTGATGGTTTTATAACAGGTTTCCCCTTTCACTTGGCTCTCATTCTGTCTTGTTTGCCACCATGTAAGATGTGCCTTTCCCCTTCTGCCATGATTGTGAGGCCTCCCCAGCCATGTGGAACTGTGAGTCCATTAAACCCTCTTTTTCTTTATAAACTACCCAGTCTCGGGTGTGTCGTTATCAGCAGCATGAAAGCGAACTAATAGAAACAATGAACAAAACAAAGCCCTGGCTTGAGGGAGCTGACATCCTAGTGGCAGAGAGAAACAAGAAGCAAACACCACACTGCAGGCGCTCAGATGAATGGAAGTGCTAAGTGGACATGAACAAGCGTAGATGGGGCTGGGCTGGGTGGTGTTGCTGTCTCTAAAGAGGGTGCCTGTCCCAGGGAAGGCAGTGACTTCACATGCACATCTTACTGTTTTGCTAGAACACGGTTTCCCCGCCTTGTATCCCTGGCCACTTTCTCCTCCTTTTCCAACTCCTGACTCCAGAAGCACTTTCCCTCTGGAGCTAGGGGGGCTCTGCTTAGGCATAATTACTTGCTCCCTCAACTGGATCATTGTAAATTATAAATAACTTGATTAATCTGCATCATGCAATATTACATCATATTTATATATTCGGGTAAGTTATTCCTACCAAGTTCACATTACTAAAGGGCTGGGACTGCGTCTTATCCATCTTCATTTATTCACGCCAGAAGCTCCATGGAACATCAACCATGAACCTTGCCCCGCTTCCCTACCAGAGAATAAAGAGGAATCCCTGTCATTTTGTCCTTATTTTCTTTCCACCTCATTCGTCTCTCACAAAGGACTGAGATGTTATTTTAATGAAATAGTGCAATTTAAATGAAATAGTGCATGTAAAGTGTTTAGCCCAGTGCCAAGAACATGAAAACGGCTCAGTAAACATGTGTTGTTTCTATAACTACTATTACTACTCTAAATAGAATTATTTGTAGGCCAACTGTTTTCTAACTACATCACTCCATTCATTATCCAGTACACTGCTGCAACGCTTCTGATTTTAGTCTCCAACTAGAGTCAGATCAATCTGATAGTGGATGCCATAGTACCTGGGAATCCCATACAGCTTCCCGGCTCACTAAAGAGAAGGTTCACATTTGAAGGCATTGCCCCAAGTTAGAGGTAGTTACTGACTCTTTACATCATCTCTGACACTCTCCACATTCAAATATGGTGGAGATGCTTTGTCTGCAAAACCCACAGGACTGACACTTTAGTAGCTCTTCGCCGGTGACCATGAGCTGCAGAGCTGCTCCACTTCTTGAGTTTTCTCTGTTGTTCACCTCTTCCTACCATTGTCGCCAGTTTCCTGGGTACTCTTCTCTCTTACTCCTGTTTTTCTCTTTATTGTTGCCTACATGTTCTCTGAGAGAAAGTGGCAAGAATTTCAGCAGCCCAGCCAGACAAACCTGAGCCTGAGACCCAAACATCCCCTTCAATTGCTGTGAGACCACCTCAGCCAGACACATCTTTGTTTACAAGGATCTTCTCTTGTAAAATTAGGACAACACAAAGCTGCTTTCAGGGCAGTTGAGAGGATATACATCTCTTAATATGACAGTGTTGGTACACAGTATATGGAATTGTTAATAGTATTGTTGTTCTATGTCTACCTCCAAATTTAGGGACATTTTAAAAGCTCGAGGGCACTAAAATGCTGTTTCCTGATAGCTGGCCACCCACTACATGTAATAATGTAAAAATACAATGCAAGAATTTTTATGTAGGAAAGAGCAGGAAGCGGTTTTACATATAACTGCATACAGCTAGAAAGAGGTTGGGGTCATTATACCCACATGCATGGAGGGTCAGACAGAACCTCTGATAAAAGTAGTTAAAAAAGATGAACGCATTTTCCCAACTGAGCTATCCCATCCAGCCCAGATTCAATAATTTAAAAGACAATGCTCGACGCTCACTTCAAGGTGAGAGAAAATTCTGAAGATGAAAGAATCTTCTCAAAACTTCCTTTTAATTAAAATGTTGGTTGCCTGGATTTCTCCTGAGCCTCAGCTCTTTGCCTATAAAGGAGAAATCACAAGGAGCTCTGCCTAGACAATAAACCACTTAATCTGAAATTGGAACTTAATCATAAGTCGATCTTACAGCCCCATTTTTGTGCCCACCATTGGGTAGGTACTAAAAGCTTTGGAATAATATGAATTTATCAGTCTTGAAGGCTAGTATTGCATAGTTGAAACAAAATAAAACTGTCAAACTCAAACAGAAAAGACGAGGAATTCAAGATGTGGCTAAATTACTATGAAATAAAGACAAGGTCGAGGGGAAAGAAAACCATTCCCGAGGCAGCTGAAATGCAAAATTTTTGCTGAGATGAAAGGCCGACCCCTTGATGTGGCCTTATGGCTCCACAAATGGTAAGAAGAGTTTCATGGAATATTTCAAAATAGAAAGATACAAAAGTATCAGTGGCAGTGTTCTGAACAGAGTGGGTGCCAGAATAGTGTTGAATTACTAAATGAGTGATGACAGAAAGAAGAAAAAGCAGGTAGATAAATAGGTAACAGCAAGACTGATGGGGCCTTGTCGGCCACTGGCAGGTGACAGATGAGCCAATGCATCACTGAGGGAGATGCAAGGGAGGCATGGTGACACTCCAAGCTCCCAGATTAAGCCCCTATAGCTGAGAGGCACAAAGAGCAAGAAGCTGGGGCTGCAGGGTCCAAAGTCCATGGCAGGAAGCAGGCCCATCTTGATTCTCTGACGTCTGCTCTGTGCACAACATTGCCAGTGACACTTTTGCGTCTTTCAAGTGAAGGCAAAGGAGTGGGGGGACTACACTGGGTGCAAACCACCTCCTGGGCACCACACTTTCCCTTTACATCTGTGAATCTCCTTTGTCCCCTCAAACCCTTTGAAATGGAAAGTGCTATCTTGATTTTCAGCAGAGGAAACTAAGCCTCTAAGTAACAAACTCCAGTTGCACAGTAAACAGGAAGCAGAGTGGGGACTCCGTGCTGCTGTGTCTGAAGGCACAGGCTGCAAGCTCCGGGAGCTTTGCAAATTCTTTCACTTACACAATTCCTAAGAGCCCTTGAGAACGAATATACAGCCCAAATTAGCCTGCCAATGAGCGAGTGATTTCTTTGAAGTCTCAATTTTTAATCAATTGTGCACATTTTAAATTTTACCTCATAATATGGTTGTGTGCTAACTGAAAACAAAACAAAACAAAACATGTTTTAAATTACTTTCATATGAAAGGACGTCCTGTCCTTGTCCTGGGGGCTTTGAACAGTATCTGATAAAAGCTGAATCTCCACAGGGAGGGAGGAGGGAAATGCGGGCGGCGGGTGGGCAATGCGCACCCTGTTTTGAAAGGCAACATACTCTGCTGTGATGCTTCCTCTCTAACAATCCATTTTCAGGACAAAAGAGAAATTATCAGAGTATCCCATTAAATTCAAAATTGTGTTTAATGCCTGTGTAAGTGAGAAGAGTAGCAGTGCTCTGGCACATAACTCGAGGGTCCTCTTTCAAATTCCTTCCTGCTAAAACCATCTCTATCCAAATGGATAGCTCTACAAGCATGGTGGCCTTTTTTTTTTTTTTTTTTTTTTTTGAGACATAGTCTTGCTCTGTCGCCCAGGCTGGAGTGCAGTGGTGCGATCTCGGCTCGCTGCAACCTTCACCTCCCGGGTTCAAGTGATTCTCCTGCCTCAGCCTCCCTAGCAGCTGGGATTACAGGCGCGCGCCACTATGTCCAGCTAATTTTTGTATTTTTAGTAGAGACGGGGTTTCACCATGTTGGCCAGGCTGGTCTTGAACTCCTGACCTCAGGTGATCCTCCCACCTCGGCCTCCCAAAGTGCTGGGATTACAGGTGTGAGCCACCGTGCCCGGCCTGAGCATGGAATTTTTTAATGTGTCTACATCTGACATTTGTGGAGGTGATAAAATGGTTCAACCTAATGGTGATGACAGCCAAGTCTGAGTGCTGGTCCAAGTACTGGGCAATATGCTTTATTTATGTGGATAGTTCCAAATCAACACCCACCCCCACAACAGCAGCAACCCTATGAAGTAGGCAGTATGATCATACCCATTTTGCAGATGAGGAAACTGCAGACAGAGGGATTGAACCACTTTTCCAAGGTGACCTAGTTGGGATGTCTTGGGGCTGGGATTCACAGCCACACAGCTGCACTCAAGATCCTTTATTTTAAACAATGACTCCAGGTACCCAGCCTCTGTGGTCCACATCTGCATAGTATAGAGCTAATAAATATCAGTGTGCCCAGACTCCTGACATAATTAAGAGACCCTCCAAACCCAGGTGCTGACAAGGGCTCTACATCTTCCAACTGGGTGGCAGTCACAAGACACTTTCTATTTGCAAAGTACGCAGCAGTTGCTCAATCTCTAGTGAAGGCTCTCATTTAAAAGGTGCTACTTTGTGCAAGGCGATGCCCACTCCGTGGCTAACACAGGTCCAAGGACAAATACGAGAAATTAACTTTTAAGCTCTTCAGCACAGATGCCAAGTTTGAACACTAATTTATAGACAGCATTGATGCTCAACAGCTGTATAAAGCTGTGCTGAGAGAAAGCTTTGCATATGGTCTTTGATGAGCTCTGAAGCCAAAAAGCCCTGGCTGTGGATCTGGAATTTTTCCACTTATAGGTTATTGGGTCCTGGGCAATGAATTGAACTGATGTGCCTCAGTTTCCCTACCCATAAAATGGAGATGGCTTGTGTGTGCTGTTGTGAAGATTAACTGAGGACGTTTCCCTTGGTTAAATGCTACTTGACAGCTTACGTAAATGAATAAAGTGACTGAGCTGCTTCTAAAATATAACAAAGATTAATGTATGTGGAAGTGCTCAGTACGGTGTTTAACACAGTTAGTGCTCAAAATGGTAGAAGAAAATGACAATGATTCCATTAAAAGATTAGCTATCATGCCACCATATTCTATTTTAATTGGTTAGATCCATAGCATTGATTCCTCACAAATCTGTATATTTTAAATGGTTCCAAGCTCTTTTCCCACCAATTTTCCCAACTGATATTCACAACTACCCTAACAGGTAGGCAGCTTAACTAATCTTACACTCATTTTGCAGATGAGAAACATGAGGTTCTGTGAGATTAAAGGACTTGCACAAAGCCACTAGGTTACTTGGCATCTCTGTCACAGCTAGGATGAGAAATCTGAGTCTCGTTTTCTCCTTTGCCAGTGCTGTTTCCAAACTGCCTGCAGGTTCTGCAAAATCACAGTGAAGAAAGATAATCGGCTCTCTGGGATCACAGGGCAAATCTGGGAGAGGGCAGGCAACTCTCCTCAAGTCTCTGTCCTCTCTTGGCGCTGCCTCTATGCAGATAACTGCACCCTAGGGCTCAAGGGGAGAGCCACACTCCACTCAGTAATGCTATCCCAGTCTGGAACTGTGGCTGATTTCCTCGTTCCCTCTATTCTCTCCCTGCAATTCATCAGCAAGGCCCACGTGAACATGATTCCACTGCCTAACACTCTCTTCCCCACCCACACCCCCACCCCCCGGACACACAGAGGCCTCCTTTCTCTCCATCAAACATCACAGGCTCTCTCCTTTGCATCTGCCTTCCCTCTGCTTAGAACACTTCCACAGCATCTTCTCTTGGCGGAAGCTTCTCATCCTTTGAACTTTCCTTTGAGTCTCCATCGTGTTGCAGTCTTACATCTTTCATAGCACTGACCGCTATCTGAATTGTCTTGCTTATTTACGCTCTCCCAAGCCCTTGACTGCCTTGGTCGCCTTATGCAGTGCATGCTATATAGTGTAAAAACAAGTTTTCCATCCCCTGTAGCACTTGCCCAGGACAGAGCAAAACTAAAGTTTGGCTGGGCGTGGTGGCTCACACCTGTAATCCCAGCACTTTGGGAGGCCCAGGCGGGCTGATCACAAGGTCAGGAGTTCGAGACCAGCCTGACAGACATGGTGAAATCCTGTCTCTACTAAAAATACAAAAATTAGCTGGGCGTGGTGGCATGTGCCTGTAATCCCAGCTACTCGGGAGGCTGAGGCAGGAGAATTGCTTGAACCTGGGAGGCGGAGGTTGCAGTGAGCCGAGATCACACCACTGCACTCCAGCCTGAGTCAGAGTGAGACTCTGTCTCAAAAACGAAACAAAACAGAACAAAACAAAAAAACTAAAGTTTGTATTTCAATGCTACTGCTTTGAAACAGCTGAAGCCATAAAGGGGTCATGATCACGGTAGACTCTAACTGGATCTGCTGTGGTCTGAGGGTCTGTGTTCCTCCAAACTCCTATGTTGAAATCTAGTCCTCAGTGTGGTGGTATTAGGAAGTGGTACCTCTGTGAGTGTATTAGTCAGGATTCTCTAGAGGGACAGAACTAATAGGATAGATGCTTCTATAAAGGGAAGTTATTAAGGAGTACTGACTCACACAATCACAAGTTGAGGTCCCACAATAGGCCATCTATAAGCTGAGGTGCAAGGAAGCCAGTCCGAGTCCCAAAGCTGAAGAACTTGGAGTCCAATGTTGGAGGGCAGGAAGCATCCAGCATAGGAGAAAGATGGAGGCCAGAAGACTAAACTAGTCTAGTCTTTCCACGTTCTTCTGCCTGCTTTTATTCCGGCCGTGCTGGCAGCTGATTAGATTGTCCCCACCCAGATTGAGGGTGGGTCTGTCTTTCCTAGTCCACTGACTCAAATGTTAATCTCCTTTGGCAACACCCTCATAGACACACCCAGGAACAACACTTTCCATTCTTCAATCCAATCAAGTTGACACTCAATCTTAACCATCACGGTGAGTGATAATATCATGAGGGCGAAGTCCTCATTAGTGAGATTAATGCCCTTATAAAAGAGGCACAGAGAGCTACCCTGCCTCTTCTACCAAGTAAGGACACAGCAAGAAGGGTAATCCAAGAACCAGGAAAAGGGCAATCACCAAGACACCAAGCTGAGTCTGCCAGCAACTTGAACTTCCCAGCCTCCAGAACTGTGAGAAATAAATTTCTGTTTATGACCCGTTCTGTTTACGCTATGTTGTTAGCAGCCTGAATGGACCACGACAGGACTAAAGAAACACTCTTCTTTTCCGGCCAATGAACTACGCTATCGTTTTCAACAACTTTGTACAAATCTATGAACTCATTAGGTCCTGCCCAGAAAACAGTTTTCAGACTCTATCTCTCATTCCACCTCTTTTATCCCACTTCTGCACTTAAAAACTCCTAATTTTTCTCTTTGTGATGCACTCAGTAAATTTTTACATGGGCATCTGTTCTCTTGCCTATCAGGAAGTAAATAATAAATTCAACATTGTTTGGTTTATCTTTTTCATTTTATTTTTGCTTTCTGTTTATTTTTGTTTGGGATCTTGTTCATAAAAATAGGCTCTTTCTGAAGAAATCTGATACTTGGAAAGGCAGTATATGTAGGGACACAAATTCCAGACTCAGGGAAGTTGGAAACTAGTTCTGCTATTTTCTTTTCTTTTCTTTTTTTTTTTTTTTTCTTGGAGACGGAGTCTCACTCTGTCACCCAGGATGTGGAGTACAGTGGTGCAATCTTGGCTCACTGCAACCTCTGACTCCCTGGTTCAAGCGAACCTCCTGCCTCAGTCTCCCAAACAGCTGGGACTACAAGTGCATGCCACTATGCCTGGCTCATTTTTGTATTTTTAGTACAGATAGGGTTTCACTAAGTTGGCAAGGCTGGTCTCAAACTCCTCACCTCAAGTGATCCACCCACCTTGGCCTCCCAAAGTGCTGGGATTACAGGTGTGAGCCAACAAACCCAGCCTGCTATTTTCTTAGGCAAATGAAATGACCACTCCATGTCTCAGTTTCATCACTATAAACTAGGGACAAAAATAACAATGCCTGCCTTCTGGTGACTGGCCCAGAGTAAGGGCTATGTAAATATCAGCTATCATAATTATTCTGCACAGTGTCTAAAAAGAGTCTTGTGCTTCAGTAGAGATCATTCACATAAGATCACTGCCAGAAGCTTAGGGCTGCATTCTTGTCAATTTTTCGATGTGACAAAACATACAAAGTGTCCAGTATATGTTCAATAAAGGACAGTAACTCTTCTTCTAGAAGAAGGCATCAATATATTATTAATTACTTCTAACTTTTTCCTAACACTGCTAAATATCTGTAGTTCATATAAGTAACTGATGCTAACGATAACAATCATATATTACTGGCATCTTAGTGGTTTAGAAGAGCCTTTGCGTACTTCATCTCAGTTCATCTACACTGTACAAAGCAAGAGTTACAGAGTGCTTACTTTTCATTTATTTATTTGTTTGTTTGTTTATTTTTGAGACAGTCTTGCTCTGTCGCTTAGGCTGGAATGCAGTGGTATCATCTCGGCTCACTGCAACCTCCGCCTCCTACGTTCAAGCGATTCTCGTGCCTCAGCCTCCCGAGTAGCTGTGATTACAGACGTGTAACACCATGCTCAGCTAATTTTTTTGTATTTTTAGTAGAGACGGGGTTTCGGCATGTTGGTTAGGCTGGTCTCGAGTTCCTGGCCTCAAGTGATCCATCCACCTCGGCCTCCCAAAATGCTGGGATTACAGGTGTGAGCCACTGTGTCTGGCAGGGGTGTTTATTTTTCCAATAAGAAAGCTGGGGGGTGGAAATGGAATTGTGCCTTGTCCCTGGCCCCCACGGTGGAGGGGAGGGTTCAGATTTAACTTTTTTTGCAAATTGCAAGATTTCCTTTAGCCTCAAATAACAGTAACAGTCCTTCAGGCAGGGCTGTTCTCTTAAAATAATCTCTACAACTTTTTAGAATGACTTGGTAGGAAAAAGCAAGCTGTGATTAGAACATCTTCTTCTCCAGAACAGTCATCAAGGAGGCTGGATACATATATTAACGATGCTGCTATTGTTAAAATCACCACTGCGGCAGCCGAATGTCTTGGAACTGCACTCAGATCCTACAACATACTCTTCTAAACACCTAAGGGTTGGCATATCTTTCCCTTTCAGAGCTGATTTAATTTTCAGAACAAGCCAACATTCCCATGCACTTCCAAATCATGTAAATAAGATAAGTACTAACAGAGGATAGCAGGGCGTGTTCTTTATAAAAAATAAAACAGGCCAGGCGCGGGGGCTCACACCTGTAATCCCAGCACTTTGGGAGGCCGAGGTGGGCGGATCACGAGGTCAGGAGATCGAGACCACCCTGGCTAACAGGGTGAAACCCCATCTCTACTAAAAATACAAAAAATTAGCCGGGAGTGGTGGCGGGGGACCTGTAGTCCCAGCTACTTGGGAAGCTGAGGCAGGAGAATGGTATGAATCCAGGAGGCGGAGGTTGCAGTGAGCCGAGATCGCGCCACTGCACTCCAGCCTGGGGAACAGAGGGAGATTCCGTCTCAAAAAAATAAATACATAAATAAACAAAAAATTTAAAAAAAAATTGAAATAAAACAGTATAAAACAGAGACTCTTGTGGCTTTAAAGGCAATTGTGTATATAACTTTTGGGATGACAGACATCTGGAGCAGCCTCTTTGACACTGCAGTTTACCCACTACCTTCCACACCTTGAGGCTGTGCTTAGTAGCAGGGTGGACTCTAGGGTCAGAGTGGAACCCAAGCCCAGGGCTTTCTGCCCTGAACAGGATTCGCCAAAGGAAGGTGCCTATAGTCGGCTAGTGCTTACAGCTTCCTCCTATTTCCTACTCTCTTCTCTCATTTTGTGGCAGCCGTTCGGTTTAGATGGGACTGACCTCATCCCTGTTCAAAGTATGGGCCCTGTCTAACTAAGGCAGATGGCAATTATCCACTTATTTAGTTATAACGATTGGTTAAGGAATGGGCATGTGACCTGAGATGGCACGATCATGGTGCAGCACAGGACTCTTCCTCTCTGAGAAATGAAAAGTGGAAGCCTGCAGCCCCAGGGGCAGATGGAAATCATCCACTACCAAAAGGGGAGCCAGCCCGAGGACACGGATGAGAGAACCTTGGAGAAGTGAGCCAGGGTCCCGTGACACCTGTCCTATCTCTGTTTTTTCAGTTAAATGAAGCAATCCATTCCTTCATTATTTAACTCAATATGGTAGAGATTTTATTGACTTATAGGCATGAGGAGTCCTAAGCTCCTCTGTCAGTTCCTACAGCATCTTACGCAATTATGTGTTGTAATAGGTATTAGATATGTAAAGATAAAACATGTAAATTTTTTCTTTTTTGAGATGAAGTCTCGCTCTGTCCACCCAGGCTAGAGTGCAATGGTGCAATCTCGGCTCACTGCAACCTCCGCCTCCCAGGTTCAAGCGACTCTCCTGCCTCAATCTCCTGAGTAGCTGGGATTACAGGCGCGGGACACCATGTTTGGCTACATTTTGTATTTTTAGTAGAGACGGGGTTTCACCACATTGGTCAGGCTGGTCTCGAACTCCTGACCTCAGGTGATCTGCCTGCCTCGGCCTCCCAAAGTGCTGGGATTACAAGGCGTGAGTCACCACGACTGGACTAAAATATGTAATTTTATATCATAAAGATACCATGTATACATTGAAATATATGTATCATGTACATCTATAAGATAATATGTAAGTCTGCTTCTATGTTTCTTTTTTCTTTTACACATAAAAGCCTCTCAAAGTAGGAAGTGGGTCTAATTCACCTTTGAATCCCCCATGATTAGCACGCTGCTTTGCCAACAGTTAGGTGCTAAGTGGGAGATGATTTTCTCAAAAGACCATTCAATTTAAGCTTTGGAACATCTTCAGGCAGCAAAGGAATTAGCAAGGCACTTACTTTATCTCAATCTTCGAAAACTCCTAATCTTACCTGTTCAATTATAGGTACAAACACTCTTTGAGGACCATGATGTTGACAATTAAAGCAAAAGAAAAACATCATTAAAGTGTGGAATCTCCCGCAGGAGACTATTTGGATATAAAAATTCTAGTGAATTTGTTAAAGAAAAATTGGTCTCATAGCTTCCTGGTTTACAACGTGGGTAAGGGCACAGTGGAGCATCCCTCTGCCTGACTCTAACTGCAGAATCACTCTTTGGTGACTCTTTGACTTCAGGCAAACTACTTAACCACTCTAAGTCTTTGTGTCCTCATCCATAAAATGGGGATGATGAAAGCACCTTTGCTTACATGATTGTTGGGAGATTAAATAAGGCAGTACACAGGAAGCCATTAATCTAATGAGTGGCATTATCAATAAATGGAATGGATCATTATCATCATTACTTCAACAGTGGCTTTCACAGAAGCCCATCCAAACAAGTGGCTTAATGGAAATTCACAGCTAAACTACAGGAAGGATTGCTAGCCCCAGAAGAAATAGAAGATCATTCACTCCCAGCATAGGTGCTAGCTCAGGGGAGAGGGACAACTATCATTATGAGACCAGTGAAAAGGGTTTAGAGACTGGGTGGAGGTGCGGGCGCCCATGGAAGGCTTCCTGGACAGCCTAGGACCCTCCATGATTAGAACACCCTAAGGAGGAATCAAAGACGGAGGGTGGAGGGTGACACTTCAAAGAAGCTCCAGGGCTGTATTTGAGAGGGAAAGAATTGAAATGGTACATTAAAGAGTCATACTCAGAAGGAGAGTGGATTAGAGCCACTCTCCAAGTAAGGGACGAAGCTAATGTAGCTTTTCTTGTCACCATCTGTAAAAGTTTATTATGTATACTTCAAAGGCAGTGAGCGGCAGAGGGGCTGGGGAAAGGGGCTGCTCCTCACAAAAACAGGAGCAGGAAACAGAAGACGCTGACTTGGGGAGAGGATGGGAGATCGCCTCTGTGTTTGCTGCAAAAGGAGCCAGGCCCTAGGGGGCATGAATCTGGACACTTACACCTGCGATGATCAGTAGCTGGCGGTGGCCACAGGGGAGAGGAGGATGGAGATGAGGGAGGATTAATTAACTTGAATATAGAGTGGGAGATGGGCTGGTTTCCCTGAAACTGCCCACTGGCAGCCCTCGATTCTGATCTCAATGTGCTCTGGGTTTCTTTCTTGGAATTGTTAGGAAATGATCCAAGTCGTTCTTAATCTCAACCTGCTTACCACCTGGCTGTCCATCAACACTTATTTGAATTGAACGCCAGGCCTGGCATCCAGATGGGGCGGCAGGCGGCCTGGACTATGACTCTCCACTCACCCAGGCATGATGTGGGTGATGCCGTCCTTCGAGCCCAAAGCAAGTGATTTTCAACGGCTTATAGTCTAGTGGGTGACATGGACGTTAGCTACACAGTCATGCAAATGCACTTCAGTGTAAAATGACAACCATGTGCTATGAAGGGGAAACACAGGTGCTTGTGGAGGTACAAAGTAGGAGGAACTGGGTGGGCATGATGGCTCACGCTTGTAATCCCAGCACTTTGGGAGGCTGAGGCGGGCAGATCACCTGAGGTCAGGAGTTTGAGACTAGCCTGGTCAACGTGGTGAAACCCCATCTCTCTATTAAAAACACAAAAAATTAGCCGGGCATGCTGGCAGGCGCCTGTAGTTCCAGCTACTCAGGAGGCTGAGGCAGGAGAATCCCTTGAACCCAGGAGGCGGAGGCTGCAGTGAGCCGAGATTGCACCACTGCACTCCAGCCTGGATGGCAGAGTGAGACCCCATCTTAAAAAAAAAAAAAAAACTGTAGGAACCTATCTGGACAGGTGACACACTCCCCAGGCAGTGACAGCGGCGGTGAGCTGAGGTTGGAAAAACATGCAGAGATCAGTCAAGCAAGGGTGGGATGGTCGCCTAGGAAACAGAGGAAAGAAAGTTCCAGTACGAAGGAAGAGCAGGTGTAAAGGGCCAGAGACGGAGGGAGAATTATTTGCTCTGAAAAGAAGGGACATGAGGGTGTCTGCAGAAAGTGAACCACGGAGCAGGCATGCAGGGAGCGGTGAAGTTCAACAGGCAAGAAGGAGTGGAGGCCTGCCTTTCTCCAGCCTCCAAATATAATGTTGTATAGGTGCCACCCACCTCTGCGTATCCTGCATATCCTGCCACGTGCTTTTTTTTTGAGACAGAGTCTGGCTCTGCCACCCAGGCTGGAGTGCAGTGGCGTGATCTCGGCTCACTGCAAGCTCCGCCTCCAGGGTCCACGCCATCCTCCTACCTCAGCCTCCCAAGTAGCTGGGACTACAGGCGCCTGCCACCACGCCTGGCTAATTTTTGTGTTTTTAGTAGAGACAAGGTTTCACCACGTTGGCCAGGATGGTCTCGATCTCTTGACCTCGTGATCTGCCCACCTCAGCCTCCCAAGCCACATGCTTTTACGGTGCACAGCAGAAATTGAAGCACAAGTGCTGGGTGAATGAAAGAGTCCCTGCTATGCTCTAGGCCTCGTACCAGGCTTTTACACATCATATCTCATTGAATCCTCACATCCATTCATTTGTCTGATACAGAAAGAAAGAATAGCTGAAAAACCCAAGGTCACTGAGGTGGTGAGTTCAGGTTGAGGTTCGAATCAGGTATGCTTCAGAAACTCTACAGCATGGCTGTTTTGTGCAAGGAGGTCCAAAACCACCAGATGAGTTGCTGAACTAGAATAAAAGGGATGTGGGAAAGGTTATCCGCAACACCAAAGACGTGATTTCTTTACTCAAAAATGCAGTGAAGAACAGTGGCCAAGAAATGGTCCAGTTGCCTTGGAAAATGGTTTAGGAGTTCCCCTTTTTTTTTTTTTTTTGTTTTTTTTTTTGTTTGAGATGGAGTCTTGCTCTGTTGCCCAGGTTGGAGTGCAGTGGTGCGATCTCGGCTCACTGCAACCTCCGCCTTCCGGGTTCAAGCAATTTTCCTGCCTCAGCCTCCCGAGTAGCTGGGATTACAGGCACCCGAGGAGTTCCTTAAAATACTAAACACAGAGTTACCATATGACCAGCAATTCCGTTCTAGGTACATATGTACCAGGAGAATGAAAACACACATCCATGCAAAAACTTTTATGTGAGTGTTTATAGCAGCATTATTCACAATAATTAAGCACTTTGGGAGGCCGAGGCGGGTGGATCACGAGGTCAGGAGTTTGAGACCAGCCTGGCCAATATGGTGAAACCACGTCTCTACTAAAAATACAAAAATTAGCTGGGTGCGGTCGTGGGTGCCTGTAATCCCAGCTACTCAGGAGGCTGAGGCAGGAAAATTGCTTGAACCCGGGAGGTGGAGGTTGCAGTGAGCCAAGATCGCATCACTGCACTCTAGCCTGGGCGACAGAGCAAGACTCTGTCTCAAAAAACAAAAACAAAAACAAAAACACCAAAAAACAAAACAAAACAAAACAAAAACCATGAGAACAACCTACCTAAATGTCAGTCGAACCGATGAATGGATAAACAAAATGTGGTTTAGCCATACCATGGAATATTATTGTGGCATAAAAAGGAATTCCATACATGGTATGATGTGGACAAACCTTGAAAATGTCATGCTAAGTCAAAGACACCAAACAGAAAAAGGCCACATGTTGTATATTATTACTTTTACAGGAAGTGCTTACAATGGGCAGTTCTGCAGAGACAGAGAGTAGATTAGTAGCTGCCTAGGGCAGCGGTAATGGGAAAATGAGGACTGGCTGCTAATGGATGCAGGATTTCTTTAGGGAGAGTTGAAAACTTTAAAGTTGGATTGTGGTGAGGTTCACATCTCTGAATATACTAAAATCCCATGAACTATACACTACAAATGGGTGAATTTTTATTTATTTATTTTTAGACAGAGTCTTGCTCTGTTGCCCAGGCTGCAGTGCAGTGGCGCAATCTCAGCTCACTGCAACCTCCGCCTCCCGGGTTCAAGCAATTCTCCTGCCTCAGCCTTCCGAGTAGCTGGGGTTACAGGTGCCCACCGCCATCCCCGGCTAATTTTTGTATTTTTAGTAGAGACAGGGTTTCACCACGTCGGCCAGGCTGGTCTCAAACTCCTGACCTCAGGTGATCCACCCGCCTCGGCCTCCCAAGGTACTGGGATTACAGGCGTGAGCCATTGGAAATATATCTTTTTTAAAAAGGATATTGACTAAAAGTTCAGACATTAGAGACTGGCAGGCTGGTTTCAAATCCCAGTTCTACTCATTACTAAGCCGTGTGAAATAGATCAGATGAATTTCTCTCTCTAAGCTTTAGTTCCCGCATTGGTTCAAGATGCGTAACACCAACTCACGGGGTTGCTGTGACTATAAAATGAAATATTTCATAGGAAGCATTAGTCTCACAGTTGCTATAAGATACTCACATTTAAAAAAAATAACATAGTAGTTAACAAAACATAATACCTTAAATAGACAATGATTTTGAAAACCACAAGTGGCATTTGAAAGCACAACTAATCATATTCGCAGGCAAGCACTGTATTGCTAAAGTGTATAGCATCTATCCTCATTTGGATACAGCAACAGGGCAAAGGTGACAACCTCCAGGTGGCAAAGGTGGTAACCTCAAGCCATGGCCAGGGGCATCAGGTATGAGGAGGCAACTACATCTCTAACTCCTCAGTACTGAAAGTTAAAGCCGCTCAACACACAGAGGATTCCTAAAGAGCTCGTATTACACAGTCTCGTGAGCACTGAACAGGCATGCAGCTTCAACAGCTTGTCTATCTACTGTCCTGTCCTCTCCCTGTGTCCCACAGTGAGCAGAGGAGACCTGTGCTCAGGACAGGACCACGATTAGTGGAATAGAGCGGCCTGCTAGAGCAGACATCCATCCTGTAGCCTCTGCAGAGGCTGGGTGAAGCTGAGGCTTTGAACTGTCAGGTTTGCAGGGGAATGCCAGGTTTCTGTCTGGAGCTACTGCTAATACCATTATCGTAGTAGAGATGAGAGGATCCAAATGGGCTTTACTAATCCTCTGCCCAGCTCATGTGTCATCCCTACCCCTAGAAGGGAGGCAGAGACTGGGCTCGTTTCCCTGGAAGAAGAAAAGGCTCACAGGGCCCATTATAGATGCCTCACACATCTGAAGGGTGATGCTGGGAAGAGAGATTTATTCTGCATGGTGAGGGGTAAAACCCAGAACAAAGGGAGAAGTTACAAGAGGAGATTTTGGGCTGAATATGAAGAACTTTCAAAAGCCAGAACTCTTTGTAGACACAACAAGCTGTCATGAGAGGTAGCGAGTTCCCCGTCACTGGGGAGTCTGTGCACAGGCTACCTGATGACTTGGGTTAGGTGAGTGGCCATCCCAGGCTTTCAGGATTCCTTGTCGTGCTGCGACTGTGTCATTTCAGGAATCATCTCTTGATTCCTGTCACTTGCAATCAGTTTCCCTTCTTTTCTCTCACTTACTAATGCTTAATAAATGATGGATCTGACAACTTTGCTCTCAGAATGTTCTATGTTCTGTTCTATTAGACAAAGCACCACATAGTTTGTATTGGACAAATTATCATGCCAATCCCTGACACCCCAGAGTCCTGAAGCATAGTAGGTGCCAATGTGCAAATCAAAGTGGCAGCATTCCCCAGGCTTTACAACTGCCACTCAATTAGGGGACTCACAGCCATGAATTCTGTGCATTTACCCAGCTTCCCTTTGAGATTAGATCTTCCCTGAAGGGAAGAATGGGGCCTCATTTCAAGGGCCTCATTTCAAACCTTCCCCTCAAAGGATGCCCTGAACATAGTATGTGCTACATAATATATATATATATATATTTTTGGACTCAGAGAAAGATACATTCTTCTCATTCAGGGCTGGAGAGGCAGCTGCTGCTTTTGGAACAATTTTCCATTTAAACTGAGCAATCAATCCCAACTCTGCACTAGGCACAGAAGCCATACATCTCTTGAGGCCACAGATGAGCGCCCCCAGAGCAGGGATCTGGCATCAGAGACATGCTGTTCCTGTGTCCTCGAGGAAACCCTTCCTCCTCCCATAGGCTGAACCCAGCATGTACAATTCCACCCGGGGAGGAGCTGAGAAAGGGGCATGGAGCCAGATGATGACTCTGCATGGTCACAGATGTTCTCTTTCTTACGTCAAAAGTGGAGGAGGATTCTGTCTTGTCTGGCCTTTGTCTAGCAGGCTGCCCACCTCTTCTTAAAACTCAGGAGAACTGGCCTGGGGCAGTGGCTCACGCCTATAATCCCAGCACTTTGGGAGGCTGAGGCGGGTAGATCACCTGAGGTCAGGAGTTCGAGACCAGCCTGGCCAATATGGTGAAACCCCGTCTCTAGTAAAAACATAAAAATTAGACAGGTGTGGTGGCCCATGTCTGTAGTTTCAGCTACTTGGGAAACTGAGGCAAGAGAATCGCTTGAACCCAGGAGGCGGAGGTTGCAGTGAGCCGAGATCACGCCATTGTACTCCAGCCTGGGCGACAGAGTTAGACTCTGTCTCAAACAAACAAAAAAACTCAGGAGAAGTATTAGAGACAACAAAGCAGACTGTACCCCCAGACTTCATGTCAGCTATTTGGGAGACACAAGAGCAAGGGAGAGTTTGCTTTTAAGGTACTCACAGGCTGAAGAGGGAGTGGGAAGAAGAGGTAAGGGAATTGATGGTCATGATGGTGTCACATGCTGTGATCCAAGTAAACACCCCCCAACCCCTGTCACAGTGATAGTCAAGGGAAGCCTTAAGAATGAGATGGAATTCAGCAGGCTGATGACATGAACATCCCAGGCATAGGGACCAGCTTTTGCAATGGCATAGAGACCCGAGAGCAGGTATGCTGTTTGCTTCAGAAAGGTGCAAATGAAACAAGGTTGTCTGAATGGGCATCTGGTGCTGGGAGTTAATCCTAGAGAGGGGCTCTGAGTGCAGAGCTAAGGATGCTGACAGTCCTGAAGTGTATGCCCAGGAGAAGGAAATTCTCATACATGCTACAAAATGGATCAAACTTGAAGATATCATGCTAAGTGAAATAAACCAGACATACACTAAAAAAAAACCCGCAAACATCATATGACTCCACTTATATGGGATACCTAGAATATTCAAATTCATTGAGACAGAAAGGAGACTGGTGGCTACCAGAAGCTGGGGGAGGGGAGAATGTACAGTTATTATATATATTAATAGGTATAAAGCTTCAGTTCAGGATGATGAAAAAGTTCTGGAGATGGATGGTGGCGATGGTTGTACCACAACGTGAATGCACTTAATGCCACTGAACTATGTACTTTAAAATGGTTACAATGGTAAAATTTTGTTAGGTATATTTCACCATAATAATGTTTCTGAAGCACGGTGTTCTGGTGGAAGACACACATTCATGACCACCCTCTTCTCATCTATGGAAGTTTAGGAACTCCAGCTTGCTCTACACTGGTGTGGTACCAGAATTACATACCTAGGGGGACTGTTGAGGATTCACACTTTACAAACAATCTAGCATCTTTTAACAGCAATCACCTTCTGGAAGAGGGGGACCTTTAAATCCCACAATTCCTACCTCCTCCTTGCGTTTCTGACTAACTTCCCTAATTTTATACCTTTGGGTTGAAGGAAGAAAAGAGACAGAACAGAAACAGCCACACTTCCCTTTGATAATGTGCTCCCTCTCCTAATTAACAAGACCTTGCACAACTAAACATCTGCCAGCCTCAAAAACTTTCACAGAGATGAGCTTTGATCACAGTGGAGCACACAGAATCTACACCGAACAACAGAATTTCACATAGCCAAAACCAGGTGGTGCTAGATCCCACCCTGCTCAATTTAATCTGACATTCTGAAGACTCTACTGGTGGGTGTCACCCTGGGCAAGGCACAGGGGCCACTGCAGGGCACTGGGAACGAGTAAAACACAATCACTGCCAACTTCAAGGAGCACATGGATCAAAGGCAGCCTTTCTCCTCTTCCAATGCACACTATACTCATGGGTAACCAGGTAAGAGGGTCATGTTAATTACACCCTTACCATTTTCTTAAAAGGGTTTTCTAAAACCTACATTTGGTAACTCAACACTAAAGTGTACATATTTGACTCTCTATGTGAAAATTCTCTTTCCTTGGTTTCTCTTCTTTCTCGCGACACTCTCACCAAATGCAGAGAACTGTCATGTGGTGATCTCATTCAACAATTTGTCATGCTTATAAATCACTTTTTGCTTCCTGGAGAAAGTTACAACGTACATCCATGACATCCTATCAGAATTATGCAGGTGTATCCAAAAGGTTGATTGGCAACTTTAATATATACCCCAACAGAACAATCTCATCCTGGCAAGCATTAAAAACTCATCGCATATTATTACTTCACGTGACATTTGTCTCCCGAGAAGCATCCATCCAACTGCGATGGTGTTTGCATGCAAAAGGAAAATATGGCAGGGAAGTGTGGGAAAAAACCCAGAGTGAATTCAAATGGTGGGGATGTCTTTGAACCACAACTGTTTTCCTCTCTAGAGTCATTAGTGCTAATTACTAACAACTACCCTGGTGACAAGTGCTGGCAGTTACTTAGCTGCTAATTGGCTTCAATTTACCGCTCTGATTGTGTGGTCACAGGTATATATTTGCTTGGGGAGTGAGGAAAAGAACAGGTATATCAGGCCTTAGGCTGTCCTTCCAAAAGACATCACCTGCCTAAAATGATCCGCCTAACCCAGTGGGTTTCAAACTTTCCCACGCATTATAATCACTGAGGGCCCCACCCCTAGGGTTACTGATTTAGTATGCCTGGGGTGCACCCCAAGACTTTGAATACCAGCAAGTTCCCAAGTGAGGCTGATGCTGCTGGTCCCAGGGCCACCTGTTGAGAACCACTGGCCTCATCAATACTCTCCTTCAACCTGATCCAAGACCCTCTCCCCATCTCATCTGTCTCATCTGCAAAATGGAGGCAGTGCAACAAAAACAATTGTCTTGGAGGTCCCAAGCACACATTCCATTGCAAGGATGAAATGGTGTCATGTTTAATAGAGTCCTCTATGGAAAGAGGGATTTTTATTTTTTTTTTAAGAGACAGGGTCTTGCTCTGTCACCCAGCCTGGAGAGCAAAGCACAATCATACCTCACTGTAATCTTAAAGCCCTGGGCTCAAGTGATCCTCCCACCCCAGCCTCCCAAGTAGCCCAGACTACAGGTGCATGCCACCATACCCAGCTAATTTTTAAATTTTTTGGTACAGATAGGGTCTTGCTATACTGCCCAATCTGGTCTCAAACTCCTGGCCTCAAGTGATCCTCCCACCTTGGCCTCTGAAAGTGCTGGGATTACAAGTGTGTGCCATTGCGTCCAAGATTTTATAAATGTTCTGTGTTTTTATAAATGATCTGTGTTTTGCCCAAACCTAACTGGGCAATTTAAAATCTCTCTCGTCTGCTTTCATTTAGACAGAAATGAATCGCAGAGAGTGAAGGAAAAGTGAGCGGTGCATGTTTACCTGGGCTTCACCAACCTATGACAATTTTGCATTTGGGAAAAAGTCTCGCCGCTCCCCTGTGAGCCCTCATCTCTGACCTTGCTTTGATCTACATTTGAAACCTAAAGAACAAGAATGTGTGAGTACAATAATAAAACCAAATCAATATTCCAGCACCTACCTAACAGATTAGAGAATAAACCTGAGAAATGAGCTCATTATTCTACTTAATAAACTACCATAAGCAAGCAATGTACTGGGAGTTAGGGATGTAAACACAATAATAGTAACTACATTTATTAGGCACCGACCATGCACGAAGCAGTCTAAACATGCAAGTCTTAATCCCTGCAGCCACCTTGTAAGGGGGTAGTGGTGATGACAGCAAATTCGAATAACATGCCTACTAGGTCCCAAGTCTCCTCTAAGCATTTTATACATATTTACTGATTTAATCAATAACTATATGAGTTAGGAACTTTACAGATGAGGAAATTCAGCCATAGAGAGGAGACCTCTAACAATTGGCTTGTGTCTCCGTGCTAGTAAAAAGTGGAGGTAAAATTGGAACCCAGGCTGCCTGTCTCCAGAGGATGTGCTAATGACTGCTATACTCTATCACCTCCGCTGGTAAGTGTGTATAGCCCACATTTCACTGATAAGAAAATACCAAAGTCCACAGAGGCTAAAAACTGGTTTGGTGTTTTCTGTTTTGTTTTTGAGACAGGATCTAACTCCAGGAGGGTAGGCTGGGGTGCAATGATGCAATCTTGGCTCACTGCAACCTTGGCCTCGCAGGCTCAAATGATCCTCTCACCTCAGCCTCCTGAGTAGCTGTGACTACAGGTGCATGCCACCGTGCCTGGCTAATTTTTTGTATTTCTTTGTTGTTGTTGTTGAGACAGAGTTTCACTATGTTGCCCAGGCTGGTCTTGAACTCCTGAACTCAAGCAATCCGCCCACCTTGGCCGCCCAAAGTGCTGGGATTACAGGCGTGAGCTACCACACCCAGCCTGGCTTAGCTTTTGGTTCTGAAGTCCGTGCTACATGCCCCAGGCTCTCCAATGACTGGCAAATGGTCCCTGTTCTTGAGAGAAGGCAAGCATATATACAAATGAACCCAATTCAAGGTGGCGGGTGCCGATACAGTTCTGTATTGTCGGGCAATCCATCACACACATAGTGATTTTCTTCCTGTTTTACTGATGGGCCATTAAATGACTGATGAGACCAAACGGGGGCAGCCAGACTTTCCTCCCATTTGGACAGATGTTTCCACATGTGGCAGCTGTACTCAGGTATCTTCACACGCAGCTTTTACTGCTGCTATTTCTTTATGTTGCTGATGCCAGCCACATGAGTTGTACCTGTGTGTGTACTGCTGTATGCCTTGAGGTGGGGTAATCTGGAAGCTTAATACCCCATGTGGTAATATTTATTGAGTACCCTTTAAACTATTAAGAATACTTTTAGTCTCTGATACAGACAACAAGGGTGATATTTCCCTGGCATTTAAAGAGGTTTTCTGTGTTGTTACTCAGAGTGAGGGGGGATTCAGCTTTGCATGATAAATTCCAGGGCACGTCTAGCTCTGTAATCATAGTTCCCAAATATTCCATGGATTTTAGGTGACCTAAGAAGTACAACCAGTGGGACTGATCTCATGATCCAGTCTAGAGAATGGACCCTTCCTCTACCCCAGCAGCTGTGATGTTTGCAGACCCTATGACAGGGATGGAGAGCTTTACCCTGGAAAAGGACTTGGTAGAAGGAATGCATTCAGCTCTGCATGGCCCTAGTCTGTCTTCTTATCTCTGACTACCTCCATTGTGAACTGCGTCTCTGGCAAGGCAAGTTCTGCTCATTCCATCCTTGTAAGACAAATCTGAGTTATGTCAAGGTTGCTTGTTTTCCACGAAACGAAATGTCATTTTTCTACTTAGTACCCAGCCTTTCCTCCTTTGATTCCACAGCCAGAGATGGCTTTTGTCAAACTGTCTAACTGCAATGGCTAACTCCCCTACAAGTGGATGGGACTGTAGCATATCTTCTTGTCTCATCTCTTTATTGTACCTGAGGCCCAGGAAAGGGAACTGTTTACTTGTAGGTTGACCATACAGTTGTTTTTTGTAAAGCCATGATTTTTTTCCTTGTTCTTAAAAAAGTCCTGTAAAAAATTAATGTCATAGAACTTCATTATGAGCTAAAATATTAAATTTACCTCTGACAGGGCTCTCTCTGACATTCTGGTTGCAGTATAAAGAGACACTTGCCTCTTAGGAAGGAAACTGATATTGTAGATTAAGAGAATTCAAATCCTTTGACCCAGGAATCATACTATGCTAATTTATATTAAAAATGAATCTGAAATAGGGAATGTTGTATGCCAAAGAAATTCAACAGTCTTTAATTAAATCTTCAAAATACCAGAAACATCCTAACTGGCCCAAAATAGGAGAATGTCTTTTAAAAAATTATGATTTATCACTAGATGGAACATTACCCAGTCAATGAAAGTGACAGTTACAAAGATCGATAATATTAAGTGAAAATAAAAGGCAGAAGTCAGAATTACATATAGGAGGAAAACAACAGTCTTTAAAAATATACAGAAAAGTAGATTGCAAGTAACTAATCAAATAATGGTGGGCCAGGCGCAGTGGCTCACGCCTGTAATCCCAGCACTTTGGGAGGCCGAGGCAGGAAGATCACCTGAGGTCAGGAGTTCGAGACCAGCCTGGCCAACATGGCAAAACCCCATCTCTACTAAAATACAAAAATTTAGCCGGGAGTGGTGGCAGGCGCCTGTAATCCCAGCTACTCGGGAGGCTGAGGCAGGATAATCACTTAAACCTGGAAGGCGGAAGTTGCAGTGAGCAGAGATTACACCACTACACTCCAGCCTAGGTGACAACAGTGAAACTCCATCTCAAAAATAAATAATTAAAATAATGGTGATCTTCAGGTAGTAGGAGATGTATGATTCTTCTCTTTTCCCCTAATTTTCTCTTGTCTTCAACATACCCTGTGATGCTCACAATGTACTCTATAATAAGCAAACACATTCACTGTTTTTTTTAAATTGTTTTTTAAATGCCTGAGCCAGATGTGTGACATCACTCCAACCCAGGTTTATGCAAAAGGAGGTGCCTAATGCCTGAGGATCCCAGAGATGCAAACCTTCCACCCAGATGGTTTTGCTGGTGAGACACAAGTGGAAGCACGGCTGTCAGGATGTGTACTGGTGTGACCATTAATCAAACCACTAGAAGTGAGGAATGTAAAAGAAAGGCACCGCGGGAGAAGCCCTTTTGCAGAAAAGGAATCTTGTGCTGGCTAGGAAAAAAGATTTGTAACAATGCAGCCAGTTAGTAAGATTAATGAAAGGAGAAACCACTTTGCATGGTGGTCAATCTTCAGTAATTTAAGGGTAATCGAGACTAATTTCAAGGTAATAAGAAAAGCTGCCCAAGTCTAAACTTTGGCTGAGATTCCTCTGTGAGCTAAATGGGCTAAACCTTGTGAAATCAGTGCATTATTGAGCATACAGCAACTCAAACACTTTTTGGTTCCTGTTCCAGACTGTTATATGGCCAGGGTCCTGAATCTTACAAATGGTATCCAGAATGATGGAGACCAGCAGAAGCAAGAACACACTCTGCCTGAAAAAAATGCTGATAAGCAGATCCAGGAGGCAGCGAGATGCAACTCTCTTCAATACACAAGCAAAACAAACACATGCAAGAGAGGAAATTAAGTAAAATCTGTCTGGATTGCAACAGGACTGATAGAACCCTTGAGTTGGAAGAGACAAGAGTTCATTTTTCTAATCCCGGAACGCTCCCACATGTGAAAAAGCAGCATCTCTCAGGGATTGGAATGCTGGCTGAGAGACTGCAATGCCAGATACAGAAAGCTCTAGAGACTTAAGAGCTGATGTACACACACACACACACACACACACACACACACACGAGTCATGTGCCACATAATGATGTTTTGGTCAACAACAGACAGTATAGTGTTGTGGTCCCATAAGATTATGACGTTGCATTTTTACTGTCCCTTTTCTATGTTGAGATACACAAATACTTACCATTTTGTTACAACTGCCTACAGTATTCAGTATAGTGACATGCTGCCCAGGCTGTAGCCTAGAAGCAACAGGCTATACCATATAGCCTAGATGTGTGGGAAGCTATAGAATCTATGTTTGTATAAGTACACTCAGTGATGTTTGCACAATGATGCAATCACCTAATGATGCATTTCCCAGAACATATCCCCATCATTAAGTGTCACAGACTGCATATATGTTTATGTGAACCAGTCCCCTGTGGATACTGAGGGATGACTGTGTGTGTATACATCTCACATAGCTTTCTTTCAGTCGGCTAGTCTATGTGTGTCCACACACACACACACACACACACGATGATGCACAGTTATGCCTGCATATGTGTGTATATATATATTCATAGACATATGCACACACATATGTATCACAGGTGTATACTGCCAGCCCTCTGTATCTCCAGGTTCTACATTTGCGACTTCATCCAAATGTGGATCAAAAATATTCTAAGAAAAAACAATGAAAATAAAAATAAACGAAAGTAACACAAAATTTAAAAATTCATACAGTATAATAACTATTTACATGGTGCTAGGTATTATAAGTAATTTAGAGATGATTTAAAGTATGCAGGAGATGTGCATAGATTGTATGTAAATACAACCCCATTTAATATAAGGAACTTGAGCATTGCTACATTTTGGTATCCACGGGGTTCCTGGAACCAGGCCCCTACGGATATGAAGGGACAACTACGTGTATATATATATCATATAGCCTTCTTTTAGTCGGCTAGTCTACACGTGGAGGAGAGACAATCACGAGTTTCAGTCCTATTAAAGTGAGTCAGAAACACGGACCTATAAAGGGGTGAAACAATCACTTCATTTGATAGAAGGGGACAGCCAAGGCCCAAAGATAGTGACCTAAGCTCACTGAGGCTGTCACTGAGGCTGTCAATAACATGAACACACAGCACTGTGTGAACAGCATGAACCAGGCACTGTGCTAAGCGCTTTAGGTAAAGGATCTCCTCGCAGGCACGTAATGTTCCTATCTTTATTTTGCTATTGAAAATAAAAACAAATTGATATCGAGCAGTTTATTTGTTCAAGTTCTCAGAAAACAGTAGAGCCAAGAATGAACCCCTCCCATTTCAGCAGGTGTAGCTAAAAAAAAAAAAAATAAAAAATAAAAAACAACAAAAAAGAATGAATGCTGCATGATGTGATTCCAGACCGCAAGCTCTTGACCCCAAAGCCACACTTGTTGGTGCTGAGGCCCAGAAACCTAGATTTTAATGAAGGTCCCTAGACTTTCGCTCCAAATACTCCTTCTTTTACAGCATTGCAAGTGGCTTTTCCAGTGCAAATTGATGCACAGAGACCTAGAAAGAGAGCAGCAAATCTATCCATGACAAACTGTTCATCCCTGCAGACATCACATCCATGAAAAGGTAAACTCCGGAGGGTCTGCTTGCTGTTTGTTGCTGCTGTATTCTGAGGGCCTGTTAGCGTACCTGACACATGATTGGCACTTGGTATGTGTTTGTTGAATGAATGAACTCATTTTCACAGGGAGCAGAAAATAGACAGCCAGGACGATCTTTCCCAGAACACTGGAGCTAAACAAGAACTCTGGACTCATCAACAACACATTCAACGAGAAAACAGCCAGAAAAGCTACCCCAGAAACCCCCTCATTTTATACACTGAAGAACCCAGGCAGGGGAGGCAGTAGTCCCCGGACTTAATCTGCCCAAAAGGTGGTGCATGGAAAGTTCCCTGGTCAGCGCCCTGGATCTTACAAAAGGCTTCCAGAATGATGAACACTGGCAGGAAGAAGGTGCTCCTGCCTGACAAGATCAGGATGAGAGGTGACGAGTCCAGAGTCACCCCTCACCCTCCCCTTGGCCTCTCACCCTTTGGCTTGCCTTCCCCAGTTAGCAAAGAACACTCCCACCTGTGTATTCCACACACACAGCACCAGCCTGGCACCTTGCCAGCTTCACAGAGTCCGGGAGTGAGCAACGCCACCGTGTCCAGGCCCTCTAAGAGCCTGCGCTTCACCAGCGTGAGAAGAGCAATCAATGATAGACAGATAAATCCATAGTGAAAGCTGAGAGTTTGTTGCAGAGGATGCAGGGAGGGTGTGAGGGATGCTGTTTGAGAGAAGACTGATGGCGGAGGCCCCTCTGCTAAGGTGAGCTCTGGGCAGAAACCTGCAGGAAATGAAGGAGCGAGGGCTAGGGCTATCTGGGGAGAGAGGCTTAAAGGCGGGGAAACAGTAAGCACAAAGCAGGCAAGGCAGATGTGTGCCTGGTGTGACGAAGGCAGGCAAGACATCCAGCGGGCTGAAATAGTGTGAGGATGTGGGGAGAGGCCCACATCCCTATGTCTCACCAGGGCCAGCTTTAGGGACACAGGATCTAAAGGGCCTTGTGCTGACGAAGACCCTGTGCTTGGTTTAATGGCTTGCTATCACCATTTTGAAACTCCTAACACATTTCTTTAAAAAAAGGAAGCCCCACCTTTCATTTTGCACCAGGCCTCACAAATTATACAGCTGGTCCTGCATCCCATCAGACCACTGAGGACAGACCAAGATGATGGGGTGGAAGCCTCCCCAACTTCCTCCTATTATTATTATTATTATTATTTTTGAGACAGTCTCCTTCTGCCATCAGGCTGGAGTGCAGTGGTGCCATCTCCGCTCACTGCAAACTTCCGCCTTCCGGGTTCAAGCGATTCTCCTGCCTCAGCCTCCCAAGTAGCTGGGACTACAAGCAGGCGCCACCACGCCTGGCTAATTTATTTTTAGTAGAGATGGGGTCTCACCATGTTGGCCAGGATGGTCTCGATCTCTTGACCTTGTGATGCGCCCACCTCGGCCTCCCAAAGTGCTGTGATTACAGGCGTGAGCCACCATGCCCAGCCCACTTCCTCCTATTTAAGCACCTCTGTCCCCTGTTTACTAGACAGTAGTAAGTACTCAAGGGAACACATCATTTTCTTTTTATATGTTGACTATAGCCTTAAAAGGCAAACACGCACTCTTATATTGCTACCAACTCTTTGTTATCTACATTAAAAAAGGGACGAGGAGTGTGAATAATTCAGAAGAGCTGATGAAAATCCTCAGCTCTGGGAAGCAGCATGTGGCATTTTTTTCCCTACAAATTCCCCTTAACTGTGAATACGTATTAACTGATGATTCCAGAGCTATACACCTGAGCCACTAGAAAGCTAACTCTGGATTACTAAGAGAAGCTACGATAGGATGAAAAATTGGAAAGTGGCTACAAACTTATATCCCTCAACCCCTCCACACCCCTCTCTGTCCCATCATCACCCAACAAGTACTAAAGACGCACTCTAACCTCTAGGAAAGTTGTCCAATAAAAAGGGCTGAACTCGGTGGAGTAGAGCTACAAAAACATACATATAATGCACAAAGAATTCTTTTTTTGAGACAGTCTCGCTCTGTTGCCCAGGCTGGAGTGCAGTGGTGCAATCTTGGCTCACTGGGTTCAAGCGCGATTCTCCTGCCTCAGCCTCCCGAATAGCTGGGAATACAGGCACCTGCCACCAATATTAGCAAATATTAGCACCCGCCCGGCTAATTTTGTATTTTTAGTAGAGATGGGGTTTCACCATATGGGCCAGGATGGTCTCGAACTCCTGACTTGTGATCCGCCTGCCTCAGCCTCCCACAGTGCTGGGATTACAGGCGTGAGCCACTGTGCCGGGCCGCCCAGAGAATTTTGTATACAACTTCTGAGAGAGTCTGAGAATCCCTGGAATCTACCCACAGACCCGGAGTAAGAAGCTCTTAGGAAGGAGAATGCATGGCCTCAGTCCTGCACTATGTCTGTATCCCACAGATACAATATACCTTAAAGAAGAAGGGGGAGACCTGGGTCAACAAGAGCAGCTTCATCTGGAAAAATCAGGCTACAAAGTCAGACAGCAGTGAGCAGGACTGGCCTGAAGATTATAAGGAGAACTGGGTGATGCCCCAAATTCACTCTCCTTGCTGTCGTTAGATCACTCCAACTCCTACAGATTTTTCTGGGATCTGAGGCACCCTCTCTTCTCAAGGCAATGGGAACCAGGATTTGACTTGAGGAAATCATACAGCTGAGAAGATCTGGCAACTTCATACCTTAAGCCAAGAAGCTAGAATAATGGTTAATGTGCATGAAGTCCTTTATGCTGAGCGCTGCTCTAAATACGTGGCATAGAGGAACTCATCTGTGTGTCACACAAATCCCAGGAATTACATATTGTGATCATCATCCCTATGTGAGAAAATTGAATCCCAAACAGGTTAAATCAACAGCCCAAGGTCACACGCCAGCAAATGGCAGACACAGGATTTGTTTTTGTTTTGAGACACTCTCACTCTGTCGCCTAGGCTGGAGTGCAGTGACACCATCTCAGCTCACTGCAACCTCCGCCTCCCAGGTTCAGGCAATTCTCATGCCTCAGCCTCCTGAATAAAGGCACATGCCACCATGCCTGGCTAATTTTTGTATTTTTAGCAGAGATGGAGTTTCACCATGTTGGCCAGGCTGATCTCGAACTCCTGACCTCAGGTGTTGCGCTGGCCTCGGCCTCCCAAAAGGTTGGGATCACAGGCACGACCCACCGCGCCCGGCCTCAGGCACAGGATTTGAACCCAGGCTGACTGGCTCTGGAGTCTGGGCCCTTCTCCCCTAGTGTTGATCATGATAGTGTCCAATATTCTTGTTCTCCAATGAGGCCCTCCCAGGTCACCAGGCCAAGGAGAATTCACTAGGACAGGAGTGGAAGTGTAACTGCACCCCCTGAGGGGACTGGAGTGGGGCAGAGAAAGGGGTGTGGTACTGACCGTGGGGGTTTAAGTGTTAATTCTGATCACATCCTGACATACATCAAAAGAGACGGTCATGTGTACATATATCCAGGGACCCGCACATCCAGGGACCAACATCCTAGATGTTTCTGCCCCTGGATGTGTACACATATGACTGTACAACTAGCTGACCAGATGGAAGTCAGCTAGTTGGAACTTACCTAAAACAAGACAGCTAGTTGGAATTTGTTTTAGGCAAAAGAAAAGAAAAGAAACACTTTCACAGGCAGCTTGATTCCACAGAGCACTCTGGCTTTCTGCAGATTAAAAAAAAATCTCATGGATATGCTCAAGCTGAAGAATGAAGATCCAAGTCAAGACAGAGGAATCCTGACTCACTGCAATGATCTCTGGCAATTCTGCAGGTCCCTGAGCTGCGTGCGTGCGCGCGCGTGTGTGTGTGTGTGTGTGTGTGGTCACATATGCCTCAGAGAGGAGCATGCCTCAAAGGAGACCCAGGGGGGCTCCCTGGGGTTGGAGGGAGGAACAGCCAAGGCATAATTTCTGCCCCAGAGACAATGAGTTTAAAAGCTCCACTCTGCCACGGGGATATCTAAATTATACTTACAGAAACCTCAACTCTTTATTCATTTGCACCAGAAGGGGGCACTGTTACCTCTAAAACGCATCTCAGGCCACAGGTCCCCATAAAATAAAGTACCAGCCCCTGCACTGGCTCCCGAAGACACCCAGGTTCCCTCTCAGGCTCCAGACACTCCCCACCCACACTGGGAGTTTATTCCCAAATTGAAAAAACAAAAACACGTAAATGATGATTCTCTCCCAGCTTTCTTTGAAATCACTATTTTTACATCCTTGACTGCTCTTCTTAAAAGCAAGTCTGTCATTTAACCAAAAGAGGAAACATAGTATTTTAGAAGTGAAAAACAAGGAAAAAAAAGAGAAAGAAAACAATTCATTCTTTGAGAGGCTGATCTACATGGCCACATCACCAGCCCACATTCTGTTTATGACGCTGGGTAAAAAGAGAACATTTCCAAGTCGTGTTCTTAAGCACAGGGGAATTTGTCTCTTCTTGATATTTAGTTTAAGTAGCATTTTCTTTTCCTTAGGATTAAGAAGTTTGTACTCCCTGGCTTCCTCTTGCTGAGAGGCTAAGAGACTGTTCGTCTATCTGTTTCAGTGGTTTTTCTCTTTTTTTTTTTTTTTTTTTTTTTGGAGTCAGGGTCTCACTCTGTCACCCAGGCTGGAGTGCGGTGGTGTGATCAGAGCTCACTGCAGCCTGGATCTCCTGAGCTCAAGCAATCCTCCCTCTTCAGCCTCCCAAGCAGCTGGGGCTACAGGCCTGTGCTGCCACGCCTGGCTAATTTTCTACTTTTTGTATCGCTCAGCCTCCTGAAATGGGGACTACAGACGTGTGCCACCATGCCTGGCTAATTTTTTATTTTCTGTACTGATGGGGGGTCTCACTATGTTGCCCAGGCTGGTTTTGAAACCCTGGGCTAAATCAATCCTTGCACCTCAGCCTCCCAAAGCGCTAGGATTACAGGCAAGAGCCACTGTGTCTGGCCTCAGTGCTTCTTAAACCATCCTGTACCTGAGATTCATGGGGGTGGCTGTTCTCCAAATCCCACAATCCCGCAGGGAGACAGCAAGCTTCTGCTCTCTGACAAGCACGGGAGGGGACTCTGAACTCTCTGCAGAACACAGCAGTGCTGAGCTGGGCCATCTCTAACTCACTTCCCCACCAACACCTGCCCCCACTGCCCACCTGGGCATTGAGCTGAGCCACATCAGCTTGCAGCTGCTTTCTGTTCACATCTGAATCCTAATCCCAGTCTGCTCTGCCTGACTCCCGGAAGTGTTCTGCGTCTTTCTGTCCTGGTTTTAGTAATGCTCTATGAGACATGATCTGACAGAAATTCATGGGATTCCGTGCAAAACACGAGCTGCTGTTTTGGGACTTCTGTGTGGGCCTCTCTTCCTTCAATGTAAAAAGAAAGCGTGGAGTGGCTCCGTGAACTGATTCCCAAAAGCTCACTTCCTTAAGGCATAACAAGCTTCCAGCTGTATTTTCATTGCACTGATCAGCACCTGAAATCAATGTATCTATTAGTAATAAAAATAAGTAGTAATTTGATTGTGTTGTTTACATGTGTCTGTCTTTGCTGGCAGGTGAGCTCCTTGAGGCCAGGGCACTGATTTTCAGTCCCCAGCGCTTGCCAAAGAGGAGCCTGGATGAGTGTATTTTGGCACTGTTGCCTGGTTGCAAAATGAGATGTCCCACTGGCTGGGAACTATGGGTTATTTCAGGAATGACTATAGGACAGTAAAAAGAGAACACAGTGAAGAAATACGTGGTTCTTAAAAAGTTTCTCCAAGAAGTAGCACACTGTATCAGTCAGCATTGCTGTGTAACAAGTAATCCTCACATGTAGTGGCTTAAAATGCAAGTAGGCAAGCTGGCCTGACACAGCTGGGCTGTTCTGGTTTGGGCTACGGTGCTCATGCCTCTGCAGCCATAAGTACAGCTGTTGGATCAGCTGGGCTGGCTACTATAGGGTGGCCTTACCTGCTAGCATAGGATAGCTCAGATGATGGGGCCTCTCTCCACATGGGCTCTCATCCTCCAACAGGCTAGCCCGGGTTTGTTCACAACAGGGCAGACAGGCTCCCAGAGTGGCAGGGGGAGCCCCAGTGCTCAAGTACTTTTCAGGTCTCTGCTTGTGTCATGCTCATACCATTACATTGGTCAAAACAAACGACAAGACCGGCCCAGATTCAGGAAGTGGACATAGATGCCTCCTCTTAATGGGAGGAGCTACACAGTCTTGGTGAAAGTAACCGATGTAGGCAGGGGAAAAACTTGTGGCCATTTTTTGCAAACACATATACATACACCACGTTTTTTCTACTCACATTCTAATGCAGAGTACTAGCAATGTCTGCAAGGGAAGCTGAGAGGTGTAGCTCTGTGTTAGTCCATTCACACTGCTATAAAGGAATACCTGAGAATGGGTAATTTATAAAGAAAAGAGGTTTATTTTGGCTCATAGCTTTGCAGACTATATACAAAGCATAGCGCCTGCATCTATTTCTGGTGAGGGCCTCAGGAAGCTTCCAATCACGGCAGAAGGCAAAGGGAGAACAGGCAAGTCACATGGCAAGAACAGGAGCGGGAGAGAGAAAGGGCAGGTGCCAGCTTCTTTAAACAACTAGCTCTCATGTGAACTCGGAGCAAGAAGTCACTCATTACCACGGGGATGGCACTAAGCCATTCATGAGGGATCCGCTCCCTTGACCCAAACACCTCCCATCAGGCCCTACCTGAAACACTGAGGATCACATTTCAACATGAGATTTGGAGGTGATAAACATCCAAACTATATCAAGCCCTTAGCTGCTGAGCTACTTGCCAGCTGTAACTGTATTACTGAGGAAGAGCAAGACAAATTTTTGGTGAAGAGTTAGCCACCTCTGTCACAGGCATTTTGTAGACGTTGCTGAAAGGCAGTTCACAGGGGATGTGCTCATTTGCACTCCCACCAGCATCACCAACAGAATGTGTTACCAAACTTACAGATTTTCAGTAATCTGAGAGTTAATAAATGGTATCTCTGGTGCATGCCTGTAATCCCAGCACTGTGGGAGGTGGAGGTGGAGGCGGGTGGATTGCTTAAGCTCAGGAGTTCCAAAGCAGCCTGGGCAACATAGGGAGACTTTGTCTCTAAAAAAAATACAAAAAAGGCCAGGTGCGGTGGCTGATGCCTATAATCCCAGCACTTTGGGAGGCCAAGGTGGGTGGATCATGAGGTCAGGAGCTCAAGACCAGCCTGGCCAACATGGTGAAACCCCATCTGTACTAAAAATACAAAAATTAGCTGGGCGTGGTGGCATGCACCTGCAATCCTAGCTACTTGGGAGGCTGAGGCAAGAGAATCGCTTGAACCCAAGAGGTGGAGGTTGCAGTGGGCCGAGATTGCACCACTTCACTCCAGCCTGGTCAACAGCAAGACTCTATCTAAAAAAAAGAAAAAAAAAAAAGAAACAAAAATTAGCCAGGCATGGTGACACACACCTGTAGTCTCAGTTACTTGGGAGTCTGAGGTGGGAGGATGGCTTGAGCCCGGGAGGTAGAGGCTGCGGTGAGCCAAGACTGCATCACTGTACTTCAGCTTGGGTGACTGTTTTTGTTTGTTTTGTTTTGTTTTGTTTTTGAAATGGAGTTTCACTCTTGTTGCCCAGACTGGAGTTCAATGGCGCGATCTCGGCTCACTGCAACCTCTGCCTCCTGGGTTCAAGCAATTCTCCTGCCTCAGCCTCCCGAGTAGCTGGGACTACAGGTGTGTGCCAGCACACCCAGATAATTTTGTATTTTTAGTAGAGACGGGGTTTCACCATGTTGGTCAGGCTGGTCTCGAACTCCTGACTTCAGGTGATCCGCCCACCTTGACCTCCCAAAGTGCTCCTTGACCTCCCAAAGGCGTGAGACACCCTGCCCAGCCCTCACTATTGTTTTTATTTGCATTCCTTTCTTTTTATTTTTGCGAGGCAGAAGTTGCTTCTCTTTCTGTGGTTAAAAACCAACAACCTGCATTTCCTCCTCTGTGAACTGTGTGTTGATACTCTGTACCCATGGTTACTTGTCTTTTAAAATACTAATTTCTAGGGGTTCTTTGTATCTAATTTTGAGATTAGCCTATTGTCTGTGACATGAATCGCAAACATTTTCCTCTTGGAAAATCTTAATGAAGGCCACCACATTAGATGCAGTGTGGTTGCCCTGTTTTAAATGTCACCATTTGTCAGGAGCCCAGTAGAGGTTACACCTGCTTAATGCTATGCCATTATCTGCATTGTCCATCATATCATTTCTTTTTTTTTTTTCTATTTGTGTTACTATTTCCTGTCCTCATTCTAGGTTTTAAAAATAACTTTATTTTGAAATAACAATAGATGCATATGAAATTGCAAAAAACGTACAGAGAGGTTCTGTGTATCCATCACTCAGTTTCTGCCAATGTTGGTATCTTAGATAACTAGTACAATATCCAAATGAAGAAACTGTCATGGGTACAATATGTGTGTATAGTTCTATGCCATTTTATCGTATGTGTTCAAGAAACCATCATGGCAATCAAAACAGAGAACTGTGCCATCATCACTAAAATCTCCTTAAATCTACACCTCTATAAAAATCAAGCCCAGCCGGGTGTGGTGGTTCACGACTGTAATCCCAGCACTTTAGAATGCTGAGGCGGGCGGATCATGAGGTCAGGAGTTCAAGATCAGCCTGACTGACACGGTGAAACCCTGTCTCTACTAAAAATACAAAAATTAGCAGGGCGTGGTGGCACACACCTATAATCCCAGCTACTCAGGAGGCTGAGGCAGGAGAACTGCTTGAACCCAGGAGGCAGAGGTTGCAGTGAGCTGAGATTGCGCCATTGCACTCCAGCCTGGGCAACAGAGTGAGACTCCCCTCAAAAAAAAAAAAATAATAATAATAATAAAATCAAGCCCATTTCCTTGCCAGGCTCCCCACATCTCTAACTCCTGGCACTCACCAATATTATCACCTTTCTAATCTATTTTCTAATTTACCCTCTTGTCATCTTATAAAATCTTCTCTAATAAGTTTCTTAGTACAGGATCAGATGCATAATTTGTTTACTTGAGCAAAAGAAATGTCCAACTCAATCCTGGGGCCACATAACGTCTCACCCCTCATCACTTTCCCATGCTCTCCCATTCGCTCCAACCCACCCTTTTCTGAAATTACATCTGGTACCAGACAATGATTTTCCTCCTGGAGGGTTTGGAGTAAGCCCTCTTTTCCCACTCCAACATGAGTGTGAGAAAGTGGAACAAGTCTCCCCCAGGGTGTGAGAAAACCACGTCACTCTTCCTGGTTGGCTGATCTGCCAAAACTTTCTAGGTAAAGCTAAAAAAAAAAAAAAAGCAAAACCAAACCAAACAAAAAAAACTAAGTCCCACAGAAGCTATAAGCAAAGTACAGCCCACTGGGAAAAAGTACTGCAAAGAAGGTCCTTTCTGTCCCATGTTTATCTACTGAATTAATCTCCAGATGGCAAAAGTAGTTTGTTTTGGTAAAGAAACCAGGCAAGAGAGATTCCAGAGAATTGTCTGAAATCCAATAAGGTTGCCAAACACTGAGATGGCTTACTACTATTTCTTTAGCACACAGGTCTTCTGGTTTAGGAAGGTGTAAATGTTTAATCTTTTGTTTAGCATCTTTCCATCAGGCAATGTGTTGATGTCATCAAGATGGAACTCATGGCTTACTCAAGTCAAGTGATAATTAGGGCACGGAGGAAGGAGGAAGAGAATGAAACCTGACTCCATTCTGCAGGTCTGCCACAGAGAACAGAGGGTCCCTTGACCTTCTGACAGTAATATGCTCAGCTTAATCCTTCAAGATTGAGGCTCAAAGAAAATATGTCTTCAATGAAACTGCTTCCGCTGCAAATTCCACTACCACCCCAGGCCCATAGTACTGCCTTGATTTGCAGCATAAGAAGTATGATCTCCAAGAAGAAATTGGAGGTATTCAGAATCTTGGTTGTGACTACTGGGCAAGGTAGACAAAGAGACTGAAACAAGCTGAAAGCTGCATGAAACAGCCTCTCAAATAAAGCCTGTCTTCTGTTGCATGTCACTGAGAGTAAAGAAAAACAAATGCAAGTGATATTTGATCTATAATCAAGATGCAGGTCCCAGATATGAAAATGTATCTATTAAATACCATCCTGCCTTTAGCTCATGGTTAAACAACTTCATCTGTTCCTAGGTGACCCGTAAGTCCTGGGTCCCCTATGTTTCCCCCCCAGCATACTGGATCCACTCATTATTTCTGAATGAGTGCTCAGAGAGGCTACGGGGACGGGAAGCTTCTGCAGGTCTTGACTCCAAATTCATCACCTGTGTTTCACCTGTCTGGTTAGCTGGCATTCAGTGAAGACACAGCGGATTGGTATTCTTAGCATATGAACAGCTACTTGTAAAATACAGCCTTGCAAATGGTGCAGCCATTTGGAAAATGGTTTGGCAATTCCTCGAAATGTTAAACATGGAGTCAACATATTACCCGGCAGCCCCATTCCTAGGAATATACTCAAGAGAACTGAAAATGTATGTCCACACAAACTATGTACAGAAATATTCATAGCAACATTACTCATGGTAGTCAAAAAGTGAAAACTGCCCAAGTATCTATCAACTGATGAAAGCATTACAAATGTGGTATATATCCATAAAGCGGAGTATAATGCGGCCATAAAAAATGTGCTACAGACATATGCTACAATATGGACTAACCTTGAAAACATTATGTTAGGTTGAAAGAAGCTACAAAAGATAGCAATGTTTTACGACTGTATTTATAAGAGAAAAAAACTATATTTATATGAAAAAAAATTCTACAGAGGATTAGTGGAGAGCCTGTCTTAAGAGTTTCTAGTCTAATGAAGGAAACACACAAGTGAACAAATAGGTACAATGCCAGAGACTTAAAGAGGCCTGTTTTCGCCACAGATGACACTTAAAGAAAAGAGAGATGGACCTTACGTGGCTTGAGGGGAGAGAAGAGGCTTCAGAGAAAAGGCAGTATTCAATGCTGGACTTGGAGCCTTTGCAGGCATTTATCAGATGAAGAATCCTAGAATGGGCACCTGTTCACATTTCAGCTAGGTGCCTGGACTAAGGGTTTTGCTTGTAATGAAACTTCTGTAGTGTACAAGATTCAGAGAGTGCAGTATCCGTGTGCTCTCACATGGCTCAGCAGAGAGCCTACGCTGGACAGGCGCTGGGAAGAGTTCAGAGAGAGAACACAGAACACAAGTCCATCAACTGCAAAGGCTGTTCTGATCTTCCAGGGTAACTTTGATTTATTCTGTTTTCCTTTACTCTTGAGAAACTAAAACTTTCCATTTCCCGGACTTCCTTCTGTTCTCTTTGTACACTAATTAATCAAATACTCAATTAATCCACCATTTGATTAAAAAAATACACAAGGCAAGGGGTTGTGAATACAAAGAGAGAGTCACAGACATGCTCCCCTGCAGCTCACAGTTGACTACAGCATTTCTCAAAGCATGGCCTGAAGACAGCACCTGCGTTACCACGGGAGTTGCTTAAAAATGGAAATTCCGGCTGGGTGCAGTGGCACACGCCTGTAATCGCAGCACTTTGAGAGGCCGAGGCGGGTGGATCACCTGAGGTCAGGAGTTCGAGACCAGCCTGACCTACATGGAGAAATCCCATCTTTACTAAAAATACAAAATTAGCCAGGCATGGTGGCGCATGCCTCTAATCCCAGCTACTCGGGCGGCTGAGGCAGGAGAATCACTTCAACATGGGAGGCAGAGGTTGCAGTGAGCCGAGATCGCACCATTGCACTCCGGCCTGGGCAACAAGAGCAAAACTCCGTCTCAAAAAAGAAGCGAATTCCAAGGATAAAAACCCCTATAGGTCGGATGAGCTAGATTTGGAACTCTGTTTTCCCAAGCGTACTCCAAATGGTTCTGAGGCAGGTGGTTCACGTACAAAGATAACGGCATTACCACGTGGAAGGAGCTCAAAGGGCCAGTGAGATGATGCAGTGGAGACACAGAGCCAAGGCGATCGGATTTATGTTCCCAGGGGACAGAAATTCTGAACGGCCTTTCATTGGTGGGTGGCACTCGGATGGCAATCAGTTCAGAGGCTCTCTCAAAGATGAGTGCCAACTTTAATCCCTCTTGCTGTCTTTCTCCTTGACATGCTCCTGCATCGGTGTGACACCCACCCCACCCAGAGTCTGAGGTTCTCTGGCTCCTCTACACCCTCTTTAGAGGGAAGGTAGAATCATCTGCCCAGATGTGGAACCCATTAAAGGAAGGTGACAGCACAAAGAGAAAGTGACTGGCCCCTTGACCAGAACAAACCATAATAACAAAAGGAAAGAAGGGAGGGGGAGAAAGGGCCCAGGAGACAGTGGAGGAGGTGTAAACAGTGGTTCCCAAATGACAAACCACATCTGCTCCTAGAGCAGGACTCAGCTGGCTGTAGGCAGAGGTGGAGTTCCTGCATGGAAAAGCAGAACAACTTTGGTGCCAATGTCTTTTTGGACTTGAACAGATCTTAATCTTTCAGGGTCCCCCAGATTTTCTGCTCTGTAACATCAGAATATTAATATTGATCTCTCAGGCTGCTGGAAAGATTAAACGAGAAAAAAACCCATATGAGTAAAATATTCTAGCAACAGATCCTTGTACAGAGTAGACATACCCACTTTGTTCTTCAAACTGTGGGTTCTGGCAGAGGTCGGGGGGGGCGGGGCGGGGTAAAATCTCACAAAATGTCCAATATTAAGGATAATACAGTAGTGTCAGCTAAAGAATGATGAAGTTCATAAATTTGGAAAGGAGAGATTTATTTCTCATAAAGGGTCGCAGCCTGCATGGTGGCTATTCTAACAGGCTGGGGACTGTAGACTCCGTCAGAAACCAGAAACAGACACTTCACCAGAGGGAAAAAGGAAACAGAAATTTATGCTGATCAGGGTGACCAAATATACATATTCAATAAGCTATAGGAGGAGTCATGAATATTTATAAAAGGAGACACGTGCCCATGAGCAACTGAGCTTCATGGCCCTTCATGTGTCTCATGAACAAAAAATGGCAGAGTTAGCATTATCCAAGGGTGGAGGTTTTGATCCTCTGATGTCAAAAGGTGAAGCAAAGGACACAAAAACTCTTATTGCACATTCTCCATAGACTGGCCAGAACCACTCTGTGTTGGGTGATCTCTGATCAGGTGAAAAAGGAGGGGCAGCATCAGCAGGTTAGTAGATATCAGTCTCTTGAGAGGGCTGGTTTTTGTCAATCCCTTGCAGAAGAAAGCCTAACGGTGGTTAGCGAGGGAGGGGGCATAACGAGGTATGTTTGACACTGACACCCCCAACCCATCACGGCCGACAACTTAGTTGTCAAGGTTACTCTGGGGTCTCCTTGACCAAGAGATGGTCTGATTTGTTAGGGAGCTTAGGATTTTATTTTTATTTCTTAGTACTTAACATTTATTGAGTGTCTACTATACGCCAGGCATTGTTCTATGCATTTTGCACGTATGGAGTCATCTCTTCTTAGAACAAGCCTGAAAGACAGTTCATGTCATCAGCCTCATCTTTTATAGGAGAGAAACTCATCAACTCACCACTTCCCTTATCTCACTCCCTACACGTGGAATAGCACTTTTTTTCCTCTAATTATTCTCTCTTTTGTCCTTCCTCAGTATCTTTCCTATCAGCTTATGCCTTAGCCAAAGGAAACTCTATAAAGAATTGGGAAGGGACTTTAAAGCTTATCTTGCTTTTTTTTCAGGAGTAGAAATGGTGAGCCCTCTCTAATCCCTGGCTCATCGCCTTTGAGGACCATGATGGCCCCTTGCCTTGGCAGCCCAAGCCCTGAGCTCTCTATCCTCCCTCCTGCTCATGTGTCCCTCAGGTTGAACCAGCACAACATAGTTGTGACTGGGGTGCATCAAATGCTACAGCTCGAATTACCTTCCTAATTTACTGTGGTTGCCCCATTACCTACTGGGAATCCATGCAAGAGCACTTACCAATGGGGATGCTAAAGCAAAAAATGATAGCAGACAATAAAGTATACACAAGACAAAAGCAGCCCCAACGTGCCTAGCTATTAACCGGGTCAGAAAGTACTAAATGCCAAAAGGAAAGATGACGAGGCTCACAGCCTGCCAAATAGGCCAGTGAACTTAGGTGAATCACTTCCCCCATGCTGGCCATTATTTTCCCATCTGTGAAACGAAGGCAGGGGATCGGATCTTTTTCTGAGGTTTGCTGGAACAGATAGCATCTCTGGTTGATGAGAAGGCTGCATGTTCTAAGATGCAGGATGGTAAAATAGGAAGCACACGGGCTTCAAAGGCAAACCCAAATTTGACAACTGACTCTGTCTTTGCTGGCTGTGTGTTCTCGGAAGATTATTTCTCCTTTCTGAGCTTCATGAGGGATTCTCACTGCTATTAATATCTACCCAACCATCTTCCTCCTTCTCACCAGCTAACAGAACCATGTGTTTGTGTTTTGGCAGCAGCGGGAGACTGCTGATTTCAGGAAAGGTGGGCCTCTTCCTATCCTCAGGGAATAACTCATAATCTCTATAAACCAGACATGGTAATCCCCTTCCCTACTAGCAGCGATAGGGTCTAGGGTTCAGCTTATAACTAATTTCTAAACTATCAGATGTAAAGAGAAGTCTGCTTTGGAGGTTCCTATCCTAAATAAAAAGGCAGACTTCTGGGAAGAAGGGATTTTAGCTTTGCTCTTGCTTCCTGTTTGGGACTCTGAAGACAAGACACCTGGAGCTATGGCAGCCATCTTGCAACTATGAAGTGGAAAGCATGAAGATAAAAATCCAATGTGCTAAGAATGGAAAAAGGATGGAAAGAATCAGGGGCCTTGGAAACACTCTCTACCTCCTTATGGCTTACAGCACAGTTACTTGCAGCCAAAAGCTCTCCTAACTGAGATTATATAAATAACATCTGGCCCAGAATTTGGAAACGTTAAGAAAACTCACTGAAAGCTAGCAAACACCATTGCCTATTGGAAAGACTCTTGCTGAGGCTTTTTTTTTTTTTTTTTTAGCCATCAGATAAGTCTCCTAATGATACTGTTTTTATATTTTCCTGGTAAGTTAAAACGAAAACAAAACAACTAGGCAGAAAACGTCCTTCTCCTTTAAGCACTCTTGTTTTCTCTGGCCTTACAAGATTCAGCTCACCTAGGCATTTAGAAGCTAGGCATAGTTGCGCTCTGAGGACCATGTCCCATGAGGATCATGCATCAGCTTCACAAGTACAAGGCCTATCACACAGTCCCTGCAGAGCCTGAGTCTCCAGGGATGAGGACCAGGATCTAAAAGCTCCCTGTGTGATGAACTGTCATGCAGATTCAAATTTGAGAAATAGCAGCCTACATGATGCACCCTGGACTCCGATGTAATTATTTGGTTATCTAGTCATTTTCTTTGCTACTAAAAGAACAGTATCTTATTGACTGGCCATTAAGTACCATAGAGTACACACCAGAGACTCAGGAATTGCAGAGCTTGACTCTCTACCCAGTCATTCAATGTGGACAGGGCACTGATATCTGGTCTCACTCCTCATCTTCACACTAACAGATGTGAGAGTCTTGGTGACTGACTTGCCCTAATTGTACTTTGGCCTCTCCATCCATAACCTGACACCTGACAACATCAAGCCAGTAGTACTATACTTATAGACAAACTGGATCACCTACTCCATGTGCAGCATTCTTGTTTTGTTTTGTTTTTTTGAGATGGAGTTTTGCTCTTGTTGCCCAGGCTGGAGTGCAATGGCGCGATCTCGGCTCACTGCAACCTCCTCCTCCTGGGTTCAAGTGATTCTCCTGCCTCAGCCTCCCGAATAGCTGGGATTACAGGTGCCCGCCACCATGCCCAGCTAATTTTTGTATTTTTAGTAGAGACAGGGTTTCACCACGTTGGCCAGGCTGGTCTCGAACTCCTAACCTCAGGTGATCCACCCGCCTCGGCCTCCCAAAGTGCTGGGATTACAGGCATGAGCCACCGTGCCTGGCCAGCATTCTTTTGAATTATATCAATTATCTCTCCAACTACCTGGATGTGGACACCACTGTGACCTCCACACTTCCTTTTGAGAAGCCTAATGCAGATTAATTTACTGACTGAAGATCACACAGCTAGAAAATGGCACAAGGAAACATGAATATGTTGCACCGATGCTGCTTTTGTAATTGTGTGCTGCTGTCTTAAGACAAAGATCCTGATGAACTTGGAATCCTTCACCTGGAGAAATGCAGCATGGAGGAGGGAAACCGCCCAGGAGGCTCTGATAGTAGACTTCAATTACCTGAAGGACTGTCACAGTACAACCAATCAGCCTCAGCTGTAGGGTCTCAAGGACCAAACTCAAAGAAGGGAGAGGAAGTTAGAAAGAATGGTTTAGGATGCAAGGTTTGCTCAGGCTGCCCGGAACAAGAGAAGATTATCTTGCCGGGTGAGCTTCCTTCCAATGGTTCCATGCAACAGACACTGCATGCCTGCAAGGTGGGGATTGCAAGGAGGCGCCTGAAGCCTCAGGAGTGCCTAGATGATCTAGAAAGCTGTTTTAGTACATTTTTGCAATCAACTTAGATGCCGTAGTGGTGCACCACTCTGATGTGCCTAGCACAGAGTGAGCATTTAATTAACACTTGCTAAATAAATGGATGAATAGAACAGGGATGAAGAGGACCAAATCTATCCCTTATTTCATTCCCACCACTTGCTAACTCTAATAATCTCTCCCAACTTTTGTTTCCTTGTACAAAGAAATCTTGGGCTTCAGAATTTCTTTTAACGTTTTATTTCCTCCCCACCTAAAACACCTGTTCTAACCACCTTTGAGAAATTTTTGGAGGCTACGTGTGATACAGAAAGCTTCTTGAGGAAAAATGTTCTGTTTTATACTTGTTTCTGTCCCCACAGGATCTAGGTTGGGTCTGTACCTGCAGCAGGGAAATCTCTAGATGTGCAAGCCCTGACAAGGGGGAGACTAAAGAACAGCCATTTCCTGAACCCCAACTCTGTGCCAGACACTAATCCATATATTTCACATACATTATCTCAAATGATCCAGACACCAACACTCTAAGGCAGAGATTTTCATCCCCACTTTACAGATATAAAAACTAAGGCTAACAGAGGCTGGCTGTCACCAACTCAGGGTGAGAGGTGGCATAGTTCTTGCTTGCAAATTATTCTTATCATCATCATCCATGCTTAAAGTTTTAGGCTTCTTGGGTCCTTCTGTTGACATTTCTAAGACGTAACATTCAGACTGTGCTGATTTGTCAGAATGCAAGCAAGAATTCAGCCCTAAGATCCATTTCCCCTATACATACACCAAGAATGTGTTCATTCCTTTGTGAGTGCCAAGTAGTGTTAGGCGCAACGGCCCTGGAACCTGCTCATCGATGATGTCCAGTTAGTCGTTTACTTGAAATGGCCACTGAGAGCATGAGCTAGTGCCCCAAAGGGCCAGTACAGAGCAAGACACGTGGTAGGTTACAGCTCAAAGTGGTGCGTGTTGAATCCAAATGTTTGATTTCATGGTCTTTCAGTGGAAGGAATGAGAAAAGTAAAAACAAAATTGAGAAAAAAGAAACATCAAGTATATGCATGTCTACTGCAGGGCCCATGTTAAAGAAGGGAGTAAAACCCAAGCTAAATTATGAGCATCCTGGGCTGAGTGACATACAAAGGGCCAGCCACTAACAATGGGTACCAGTCTTCCGGGAGCTAACAGATGTTCATTTTATGAGCAAAGACAAGTGTTGTTCGGCTTTTTTAGGTACCTATAAAAATTGAATAATTTTAAGCTATTCTAATAGCTGCCTGACAATTTTATTAACGTCGTCAGCTGCTGGGTGGCCCTGTCCATGCCTGAAAGACCGAGTCCTCACTTGAGACTATTCATATCAGCTGGGTTCCATTCGAGCACCTTCCTTTTTTCAATTAGCTAGACAATGAAGATGCTGTCTCCCCATACGGCCCCTTGGAAACTTTGCGGCAGGCTGCCTCGATTGGCATACAGTTCTCTTTCTCGAGGCGATGAGGCTAATAGAAGCTGCAAAATCAGGCAGGGCTCCCTCAGCCTTAGTTGTTTAATCCAACAGATGTAAAATGCCCCGACTTTGTGGATTTTTACCAGTAATAAATGGGCTAATATCAAGTCGGGAAACGTTAGCCCAGCAACTGCACTCAATAAATGTATGTTTGTGTTTATTTCTCATGAGTCTAAAGTCATCTAAAAGAACCTAGATGGTAAACTGCCCCACTTCATCTTCTAATTTTTGACCCATTTTTAAAAATGTCAACACTCATGCTTTTAATTTCCTAAAGCTCTTCCTTGTTTTTCAAAGCTGCCTTTTTTAAAAAAAATGTAGGATCTTGTTCATATTTGATGGGTGAAATAGCTGTTTCATCTTTCTTAGGACATTAATTTCAGGTTTTTTTTTTTTGGACGTTTTCCGCTCTTCTCTGCCTTGACTGTTTCCTATCCATTTCTTTATTTTTTTTTTCATTTTGTCAAAACTAACCTGACTTTTTTATTAGAGCTTTTCCTCCAATGTTTACTGACTCTTCATAATGCGGATGAGTGAGGCATTAAAAGTAGGTGGGCAGCTTTGAGTGTGTGGGTGGGCTTCTTGACTGCAGGCCTTCACTAAAGAGGGATGAAGTCAGCCGGGCGTGGTGGCTCACGCCTGTAATCCCAGCACTTTGGGAGGCCGAGGCAGGCGGATCACGAGGTCAGGAGATCGAGACCATCCTGGCCAGCACGGTGAAACCCTGTCTCTACTAAAAATACAAAAAATTAGCCGGGCGTGGTGGTGGGCACCTGTAGTCCCAGCTACTCGGGAGGCTGAGGCAGGAGAATGGTGTGAACCCAGGAGGCGGAGCTTGCAGTGAGCGGAGAACACGCCACTGCACTCCAACCTGGGCGACAGAGCAAGACTCTGTCTCAAAAACAAACAGACAAAAAAAAAAAGAGGGATGAAGTCACTCACTGACTTCTACTGCATCCACGAGTGAGGGTCCAGTCAAGAAACCCCAGCTAGCGGAACCTTCATAAAGAGCTGCTAGCCAGGCATGGGAAATGTAAGAGCAAAGGGGGAATGCTGACCTGTCACACAAATGGCGACTGCAAGTGTCAACTGCAATCCTAGGGCTGGGGTAACACAGAAAGAGTGTGGATTATTAGAATTTGGAGCCCCACAGTGCTGGGACCCAGGCCTCCGAGGCGGGGCTGCCCCAGTGCTGGTTCTGGGTTTGGGGAGAGGATGGACTACAACTAGAATCAACAACACAACCAGGTGAGGTTGCAATGCTGGGCTGATTTTTACAAAAAACAGGAAGCAGACAGGCAGGAGCAAGTCTCTTCTTCCCCTCTGGACTCAGTCTTCCCATGGCGCTCCATCTGTAAAACCCCCAAAAGATACTGGCAGTGCTGAAATGCAGAGTCCCATCCCCACCATCTCAGAGCAGGGTCCAGTAGGGTGGGTTGAAGCCGAGAGTAATAACTTAATACGACTTTACATGAGCACTTGGCATATCCCAAGCATCATTATCACAATCTTGGGCTGGGCTGTTTCCCCAAAGAGGAATCATACAATCTCTTGTCTGGAGGACAGAAAACTGGCCTCAAGCCTTCTGACTTCTGAGTAGAGGAGGGGCTGAGGGGCCTCCCCCGTCAGGGCGTACGCCTTCTGTTCATCTCCTTGGTTTCACTCCAGCACCCTGCTGCAACCCTATCTGTGCACAATGAAGTGCGTGTGTCCGGAGCCACGCTGATGCTGTGGGTCCAAGAGAAAACCTCCAGCAGGCCAGGCGCGGTGGCTCATGCCTGTAATCCCAGCACTTTGGGAGGCCGAGGTGGGTGGATCTCCGGAGGTCAGGAGTTTGAGATCAGCCCGGCCAACATGGCAAAACCTGTCTCTACTAAAAATACGAAAATTTGCTGGATGTGGTGGCAGGCGCCTGTAATCCCAGCTACTTGGGAGGCTGAGACAGGAGAATCGCTTGAACCCGGGAGGTGGAGGAAGCAGTGAGCTGAGATCGCACTACTGTACTCCAACCTGGGTGATGAGAGTAAAACTCCAAAAACAAAAGAAAAAAAAAAAGAAAAAAAATGCAGCAATATGCAGGGACCAAAGAGGAATATCTCCCTGGCTGTATAAACTGGAGAAGAGGTAGGGGTTCTAACTATTTCTTATACAAACTATTGACCAACCCCCTCATAGGGCTGGGGATCCATTCCATGTGGCATTTGGGAATACCTGGAACCTCTCACGGCTGAGCCCTGTCTGGGATCAGCAAAGTCAATCAGCCCACTCCTTGCCTTGTTGCCCGGTGGGATCGCTGATCTGTGATGTCGGTTCCCCCGTCCCATCTGTATTTTCACTCCTGAAATTTGCCGGCAACCCTTGTCTGTATTCTCCTCTTCCAGTACCTTAGTCCTTGTGAACTACGCCTTCTTTTATTCCTTTCCTGCCATCTTGGTGGACTTTGAGAGACCATGGAAATGAGCTCATGTGTTCAAGTTGCCATGTTTTATAATTCGCATGAAACAAAAAAGTCCGCATGGTCACTTAAAACACATGTGCAAGCCCACTTTGTCCTCTGGGCCATCCTCTTGCAACATCTGCAGGGCATTACAATACGGCACTCTGAACAAGGGAAAGCCAAAATAATTTGGGTCATTTTGTTTGGAAAGAGAAGGCTGGAGAACAAATTAATGGTAGAGACGAGACTATTTGAGGACAATCTGCAGCTGTTCTCTTGCTCTGAGAACAGAACGAAAGGGCATGAGCAGAAAAGTGCAACATGAAGGATTTTAAGTAGATATGAAAAATCATCTCTCATGAAGATTACTGTGGTGGTCACATTGGCCTCCCTTCCTGTAATCTCTCTCTACAAATGGCCTTCTGTATGTTTCATGATTTGGGATCTCCAAATACAACAGAGCACGCATTTAATCAGTTATCAATTAATTACAGAAGGCTTAACGTGCTGAGCACCCTGCTATGCACTGAGGAGAGAGTGATAAACCAGACAGATAAGGCACTTTCCACTCCACACTTGTAGCTTTGCCAGAAACAAAGACAAGTCAACAAGCATTTTCAATAAAACATAATTATCTCTCCTGTTTCATCTTTATCTACTTTCATGAATAAATTTGGCCTTATGATGCGTCACAGAGTGGGCTAAGGCCCATGTTTCAGGACACGTACACCGTCCTTACCAGAAGGAGGTTTACCCGATGAGGCTGCCACGTCAGGCATGATGACTCCCATCTATCCCCGTTTTCACACATGAGGAAACTGAGGCTTACAGAGGTGGAATAAAGTTGAAAGGCCATTTATTTTATTTATTTATTTACTTATTTTTTGAGACAGAGTTTCACTCTTGTTGCCCAGGCCGGAGTGCGATGGTGCAATCTCAGCTCACTACAACCTCTGCCTCCCGGGTTCAAGCGATTTTCCTGCCTCAGCCTCCTGAGTAGCTAGGATTACAGGCATGCGCCACCACGCCTGGCTAATTTTGTATTTTTAGTAGAGATGGGGTTTCACCATGCTGGTCAGGCTGGTCTCAGACTCCTGACCTCAGGTTATCTGCCTGCCTCGGCCTCCCAAAGGGCTGGGATTACAGGCGTGAGCCACCGCGCCCAGTGAAAGGCCATTTAAAGAAGTGTGTCAGTTTTCCTATTCCTTCTGTACCACATTTCACTACAAATGACGTGGCTTGAAATCACACGTTTGTTCTCTGACAGTTCTGGAGGTCAGAAAGCCTGAAATCAGTCTTAGCAGGTTAAAGTCAAGATGTTGGCAGGGCTGGTTCCCTGCGGAGGCTCTGGGGAGAATTCGATTCCCTGCTGTTTCCAGCTTCCAGTGGCTGTCTGTATTCCTTGGCTTGTGGCCCTTAACTCCATCTTCCAAGTACATCACTCCAATCTCTGCTTCTATCATTATATCGCTTCTTCTCTCTGCAGCCAAATCTTCCTCCACCTCCCTCTTCCAAGAACACTCATTCTATTTGGGGGTCACCTGTATAGTCCAGGATACTCCCTCCATCTCAAGACCATTAACTTAATCGCTTATGTAAAGTCCCTTTTGCTATACAGGGTTTATTTGTTTATTTGTTTTTTTAAGACGGAGGCTTGTCTGTCACCCAGGCTGGAGTGCAATGGCGCAGTCTCGGTTCATTCCAACCTCCACCTCCTGGGTTCAAGCAAGTCTCCTCCCTCAGCCTCCCAAGTAGCCGGGACTACAGGCACATGCCACCATGCCCAGCAAAATTTTTTTTTGGATTTTTTAGTAGAGACAGGGTTTCACTATACTGGCCAGGCTGGTCTCAAACTCCTGACCTCGTGATCCACCCGCCTCGGCCTCCCAAAGTGCTGGGATTACGGGCGTGAGCCACCATGCCTGGCCCTATACAGGGTACTTTTTTACAGGTTCTAGTGCATGGATTAGGCTGAGGATGTCTTTGGGGGCCATTATCCAGCCTATCACAGGTAGAAAGAGGAGGACCTGCGATTCCAACCTAAGTCCTATGTCTCTGAGGCAGAGTGCCCAACCCCTTGCAGGCCTGCTTCCGGTGAACTCTCAGCTTTATCCACATCCACAGGTCATGGTGCCTCAAACAGCTCCTGCAGGATCATGCCTCCATGCCTTTTCCAAGGTGCTGTTTTTGCCTGGAATTCCCTGCTATTTGGACCCTCACAAACTGCTGCCTAGTCTTCAAAGCCCAGCTCTAGTGCTTCCCCTCAACCTCACCTACCCCAAGTGGAAGTAACTCTCCTTCAACTATGCCTGCACCATGCTTTTGGAAACTCTCTGCACAAGCAATGGCCATATTACTTTGTAGTTATTTTTGCTTTTTTCTTCCCCTTCTCCATTTACACAGGATTTCCTTCAGAGCAAGAATCACTTCTCTTTCTTGCGCATTCTTTAGTGTCTTCTGTGTCCAACATTACCTGGCACATAGTAGGCATATTTCCATACATATTTCTGAGCTGAATTGAAGCTAGTTAAAAAATGAATAGCATTACGAAGGTACATTGTGCAATCTTCCCTGAAGGTTAATGAAAAACGAAAATGGAGCCACATTTTTTATTTTGTTTCCCCATCAATTTACTGAGCCCAGTGTTGAGCCTTACTAGATGCTTGGAATACAGAGATAAATAAAACAGGGCACCTGCCTGGGAAGTAAGGAAAATGAGATGTAAGGCTCCCCCCACCACGTGGCAGCCACCATGCTTGGCACGGCCACACAAAGTAACTCAATGAAGGGGAAGGCCACTGGAGGACAAGGAAGCCGTCTACAAGAGATTACTCACTGCCCCTTCCAGCAAATGGGTTCTAGAAAATGAGCTTCTGATCTCCTCTCTGATTGCTGGCAAGTTTGCTGAATTTCAGAATGCTTAATACAGAGTTAAAAGGCATTTTAGGATATCTTCCAGTCCAGTGTTTTTGAAACTAGGGTTTGTAACACATTTGAAGGTTGTGAAAATAATTCAGTGGATCTGAGCAAGCATTTTAAAAATTAAAATACATTAAATAGATTAGAAAAGAAATATAAAAATTCACTGAACATAGTAAGGTCAAGTATTGTTTTACGAAAATATTGTTTTAATTGCTCATCTGCATATATGTGTGTATATATGCCTGTATAAACATACATACACACATATGTCTTTTGGATTGTGATGAAAAATGTATTTCTGACTGTAGGATACAATCAAAAAAGTGTGAAAAGTATGGTTGGCCCTACATCTGCACTTCATAGATTCTTTGTCAAAATTTTCTGATTAAAAGAAAAAAAAAAAGGCAAGTCCTGGTAACAGAATCCTGCCAGCTCTTTTAATAAAAGAACTGGTAAATAAATTCCCCATGCCCATGGGCATCCGCACTTCACACTCATCTTATCACCAACCCTGAGGACTGGATGTTCTTTTATTAAAGGAGCCAGTGGGATTCCACATAGGCCCAATGGGGTAAATAACTTGCTCAAACATATCCTGTTCTATTAGCTAGGCTGGCTTGACAAACTTATGTGGAAAGTTCCTTAAATAGCCTACAATGCAATTTCCTTTAGATTGTCACAATCAAGATCAGAATATCTAGAAATGATCTAATTAAATCCTCCAAACTTTTTTTTTTTTTTTTGAGACAGGGTCTCGCTCCACTACCTATACTGGAGTGCAGTGACACGATCACAGCTCACTGCAGCCTCAAATTTTCCAGGTTCAGGTGATCCTCCCACCTCAGCCTACCAAGTAGCTGGGACCACACCCACCTGGCTAATTTTTGTATTTTTTTGTAGAGAAGAGGTCTTGCTATGTTGCCCAGGCTGGTCTCAAATTCCTAGGCTCAAATGATCCACCTGCCTTGCCCTCCCAAAGCGCTGGGATTACAGGTGTGAGCCACTGCACCCGGCCCTCTAATCTCTTAAGATGTGTAGTAATAAGACAAAATATGGGCTTTGAAGTTCTTCTGACCCGGGATAAAATTCCCAGCTCTACTGACCATGTGACCTCAGATGCCTGTGGGGGCTCAGGTCCTTCATCTGCACCACTGGCAGTGGCCTGGTGCACGGGGGCCAGTCCCTTTTACCCTGTGGAGGCCTGCAAAAAATAGGAGCTTGGTGTACATTAACAGCTCCTGCCTTCTACTCCCCTTCTCTTTCTATGAATATTTGCAGAGAAGTTAAAAAGTAACCACATTGCCAACTACACTAATGAGTCAAGGAGAAGGACTGCTGAGAAAATGGCATTTCTCCTCCTTCGACAAAAACAACAGAGCCATGTGAACCTCCATTCTGTGACTGGGGCGCCAAGAGGCCGGGCCTTGCCAAGTCCCCCCCTGTGCTGTTTGCTAGTGAAGAGTTTGGAGTTGACTAAGTGCCAACCTCAGCTCGGCTGTGTGTGCTTGATCCTATGACCAGCCCAGCCCTGACCTTTTCTGGTATTTATGATGTTGGATTGGATTTTGATCACTGTTTGAGCTCTTGACACAAAATAAACAGGATGACCCTTTTCCCTGGGAGGGACAAGTGCCAGGATTTTAATCCCGTCTCCAAACACTCCTCCCAAACAGTACCCTGCCCCACTGCCCCCATGGCAAAACAACCAAGACACAGTGTCTCTTTTGTTGCAGTAGCCAGCAGATCCTGGGATAGCAACCTTAGGGCAGTGAATCTCAACCCTGGCCACACTTCAGCATTATGTAGGGAGCTTTCAAAAATACGGCAGGCCACTGCCCATACCAGAGGTTCTGACTTGGCTGATATGGGGTAGACCTGGGCATCATTATTCTTCACGTGCTCCCCAGATGATTATAACTTAAAGGCAGTGTTGACAACAACTGCACTCAGAGAAGAGAAGGTGCCCAGTTTTCCTATAAAGTATGGCAGACGGGCACAGCGGCTCACACCAGTAATCCCAGCACTTTGAGAGGCGGAGGTAGGCGGATTGCTTGAGCACAGGAGTTCAAGACCAGCTTGGGCAACGTGGCAAAACCCCATCTCTATTAAAAAAAAATATAAAAATTAGCCAGGTGTGGTGGTGCACACCTGTAGTTACAGCTACTCATGGTGGCTGGGGTGGTGGGTTGCGGGGGGGGGGGGGCGGGGGGCGGGTTGCAGGGGGAGAATCACCCAAGCCCAAGAGATTGAGGCTGTAGTGAGCCGTGATTGTGCCACTGCACTCCAGCCTGGGCTATAGAGCAAGACCCTGTCTCAAAAAAAGTGGGGGAAAAAAAGAAAAAAAAAAAAAAAGAAAATATGGCAGGGAGAGGTTAATTGGATCACCAAGATTACGGAGCCGGGGCTGGGACTTGAACACAGGGCAAGCCGACTTTTTGACTTTTATGTTTTAGCATAACAAAGAAAAATGGTTGTGATGCAAAGTTAAGACGAAAAAGACTGGTATACAAACAGGATTATATTATGATCCCAATTTTATAAAAGAATCCATCCTATATGCACAGAAAAGCATCTGAAATATTAACAATAGCTGACTGTAGGTAGTAGAAATATACACAATTGAGTTTCATTCTTTACCTTTGTGCTGATACGGACATGCATTGTTTTATTCATGACACACATGTATAAAGTGGATCAGTCTGGAGAACCTTAATGATGCCTCCAGCAGAGCAATCCATTCTTGAAAAGGTCTAGTCAATTCTTGTTTTTTCCTTCACTATTACAATGAGGCCCAGAGGGTCTTTTTGTGCTGACTGCCCTCATCCTGTCTGGAGTCATCGTCTTACTGTTCTACAAGGAAAACACATTTTCTTTCCAAAAATTAAAAAAAAAAAAAAAAGGCAGTGCTGATGTCATGGGATATCAGGGTATCTCTAAAATCTTAAGTCAAGGAAACAAACATTTGGGGTTGAGCCCCTACTGTACGTGTCTATGAGAAACATTAAGAGCTATTCAAGGCTGGGTGCAGTGGCTCATGTCTATAATCCCAGCACTTTGGAAGGCTGAGGCGGGTGGATCACCTGAGGTCAAGAGTTGGAGAACAGCCTGGCCAACATGGTGAAACCCCATCTCTACTAAAATACAAAAATTAGCTGGGTGTGGTGGCGGCTGCCTGGAATCCCAGCTACTCAGGAGGCTGAGGCAGGAGAAACCCTTGAACCAAGGAGGTAGAGGTTGCATTGAGCCGAGATCGCACCACTGCACTCCAGCCTGAGCAACAAGAGCAAAACTCTGTCTCAAAAAAAAAAAAAAAAAAAAAGAATAAAAGCCCACTTCCATTGTAACTGCTACCAGATCTGTCTCCAGAGATATAGACTACAATCTAGCATGATTTGGAAGCCAAATGTTATGTTTTGAGATTCTCCCTGGGCTGAGCCAGCAGGTCACTGTTCATTAGTTGAACTCTCATGGGAACCCTGTTTGGGGCAGATTTCGTCATTCTTCCTCACTCTGTGTCTCCATTCCTGCCTTGGACAGTGTTTCATGCCGGATATAAACTCAGTGACTCAAGTCCCCTTGGTGACTTCAGGGTCCCTCTTATTTGCTCCTTTAAAGGAACAGAAGGGAGAAAAATATATCGTAGAATCCAAAGAGCCCAGAGGCCAGAGACCTAATTTTGTTTATTCAATAACTAATATTTTAGTATCTAGTAGGCTTGGATAGGTATATAGAACCTTGAAGGCACAGCCAGCAGGACTTACTGGAAGATAAATGTAGGGTATGAGGACAAGAGAGGTACCAAAGATGCCCGCTTTTATATGGTTCTGGCTTTGCCCCTGACAGTGTGAATTTGCATCAGATCCATAGACCTGAAAGAGACACTGGGCCCACCTACTCAAATCCATTTATTTTACTAATCATTCATGCTTTCTATAGTCACTCAGTGAAGCACTTACTGAACAGATAGCTTAGGATCAGAAAGGTAGAGGGACTCGCCTACAGCTAGTAAAGATGAAACACAGACTTCTGTCCAAGCGAAGTTCTCTTGAAATTGCATCATCCAAGTCAAAGACCTTAGAACCTTCTTGACCTTTGCAACAAAAGGCACTGAGCTAACTCATGACCTCTAAGATCCCTTCCAGTCCTTCTTTCCTACATGTGTGCATGTAAGTAAAGCTACAAAATGCTCTGTTTCCCGCTGCTTCTGTACAAGACTGGAAAGAAAATTTATCTTTCGACACATCCCTTTCCACTTTGACACTAATTTATTTTTTAATTGATCTCCCAGTAAGGCACACACCTAATTGGCTTGAATGGTGACACAGTTAATTAGGCCAAAAAAGAAAAAAAGAAAAAAAAAAAGGCCCAGGATGGTGAGCCCAAGTAGTACTACTTAATAAGAGCGGTGGCCAATTTCTCAGTGAAGAGGAATTTGTAAAAGGGAAGATCAAAGAGATAATTCAGCTTGGTCAGAATTTTAATTTAGGTCACTTTCATGGATAAATAGGCTGCAGATACCACCTTTTCCATCTAAACAGATTAATCCTCTAAACGGCTACAGAAAACTCATCCACGCATCAAAAGTTTACAAATGCCTATGATAAGCTGGGTACTATGCTAGGCTATGGGGGTAAAGGCCCTGTCAATAAGGAGGCTCTGACAATTTAAGAAGGGAAACAATGATGGTAGTAAGTGGAAAAGAAGTCAGAAGAAAACATTTTATTTACTTAGCATGGGTTCTGTCAGCCAGCATGCTTCTTAAGGTCGCAAGTGACAGAGACTTTACTGAGACTTAAGCAGTTTTTAAAAAGAGAAATTTTGCTTCAGGCATGGCTGGAACTAGAGACTCCAACACAATGTAATCTAAAATCTGTCTTCTCTTTTCAAGCTCTCAGATCTGTTTGCCCTCTCAGACAAACTGACTGTCTAGGAAAGAGGTAACACGGCAGGCTTGACACTGCTGTCCTTAGAACGATGAACTGCTTGCAAGACTGGCCCTTGGCTGGCATCTGAGAACTGGGGTTTTGGGAAGCTTCCTGCTATTCTCTAAGAGCTCACTGTGTCTAAACTGTGCAAACAAAATGGTTTACCATAAACACCTGCTTTCCTTCTGGGAGTCTAGAATTTTGGTATGTCCTAGAGAATGTCCACATAACCAGCCCCCAATAAAAATCCTGGGTGCTGAGTCTCTCATGAGATTCCCTTTTGGGCAACATTTCATGTGTGTTGTCACAACGTATTGTTGGGGGAATTGGCATGTCCTGCGTGACTCCACTGGGGGAGGACTCTTGAAGTTTGAGCCTGGTTTCCTCTGGACTTCACCCCATGAGCCTTTTTCCTTTGTGGATTCTGCCTTATATCTTTTTGCTGTAATAAATCATATCTGTGAGTATGACATACACTGAGTCTTGTGAGTCCTCCTAGCAAACCAGTGAATTTAGGGGTGGTCTTGGAAACTCCTGGCGGTGTCAAAATGACAAATGGTGGTTCCAGCTTTGCCTCATCACAGTTTAGCAAATAGAGTGGAAAGAGTACCTTTCTACCAGGTGCGGTGGCTCACGCCTGTAATCCCAGCACTTTGGGAGGCTGAGGCGGGCAGATCCCCTGAGGTAAGGAGTTTGAGACCTGCCTGGCCAACATGGTGAAACTCCATCTCTACTAAAATTACAAAAATTAGCTGGGTGTAGTGGTACGCCTGTAATCCCAGCTACTTGGGAGGCTGAAGGAGAATCACTTGAACCCTGGAGGTGGAGGTTGCAGTGAGCTGAGATCACACCGCTGCAGTCCAGCCTGGGCAAACAGAGCAAGACCCTGTCTCAAAACAACAACCACAACAACAACAACAACAACGAGTACCTTTCCCAACAGCACTAGCAAAAAGCCTTGGCGTAATGCTTACTAGTTCTGATTGGTTCAGCTTGGGTCACAAATCTGCCCTAAACCAATCCCTATAGCCAGGGAGATGTCTGTGGTCTTGCAGCTGGCCAGGACTGAGTCATGTCCTTATCCCTTCAGCCAGGGATGAGATCAACACCCCTCAAACACACTAAAAACCAACTGAAACAAGCAAGGAGAGATATGGTGTTCAACAGAAAAACAGTCATTCTGCTGATGTTACTGGAAGGAAGAAACGTATGCTGAGCAGGCAGAACACCACAACTACCACAGTAGAACACAAACACAGTATATCATGAGGAAGCACGTGTTATAGTGAAACATCAAAACCACAACAACAAAAAGAAAAATCACAGACATAGAAGAGACGAATTCATTCTCTCACTCTAAATCTGCGCTTCCTTTTGTATTCCCTACTTAATCTGCAAACTGGGAAAGTAGGTCATGTACAAATCTTTTTTCTTTTGTACTACACCTGACCAGAACACCTATGTCTTTCCTTTTCTTTTTTTTTTTTTTTTTTTAGAGACAGGGTCTCATTCTGTTGCCTAGGCTGGAGGGCAGTGGTATGATCTCAGCTCACTGCAGCCGCAGCCTCCTGTGTTCAACTCAGCCTCCCAAGTAGCTGGGACTACAGGTGTGCACCACTACACCCAGCTAACACACACACACACACACACACACACACACAATTTCTTCTGAGTTGGAGTCTCGCTCTGTTGCCCAGGCTGGAGTGCAGTGGCACGATCTCAGCTCACTGCAACCTCCACCTCCTGGGTTCAAGAGATTCTCCTGCCTCAGCCTTCCAAGTAGCTGGGACTACAGGCACATACCACCATGCCTGGCTAATTGTATTTTTTGCAGATATGGGGTTTTGCCATGTTGGCCAGGCTGGTCTCGAACTTCTTACCTCAAGTGATCTGTCTGCCTCGGCTTCCCAAAGTGCTAGGATTACAGGCATGAGCCCCTGCGCCCAGCCAACACCCAGCTAATTTTTATATGTTTGTATGGACAGGGTTTCGCCATGTTGCCCAGGCTGGTTTCGAACTCCTGAGCTCAAGGGATCCACCAGCCTTGGCCTCCCGACGTGCTTGGATTACAGGCGTGAGCCATGGCAGGTGCCCTGGACACCCATTTTAACCCTTTAATAGCATTTGATTCTGCTGTTGTGCTCAACCTCTGCCTTAGTTCAGGCCATGATCATTCCTTACATGAATTATTGACATGGCTTCCTAATTGGATGCTCGGTTTTGGTTCCTCCAAACCATTTCTCTGACAAGCGCACACTCACCTTTCTACACTGAGGACTGATTAGTATGACCTGGTCAGTCTTCTCCTTATGAGACTGTCAGTGGATTTTCAGTGCCTTCCAGAAAAGGCCAAACTCCTTGGCATGGCACAGCACGCTAAATCCTTCATGACCTAGCTCCTACCTACTTTTCGATCTGCCATCACCTTCCCAAACCCTCCGATCTCACCAACCACCTGATTCCTTAGGGAATGCAACTGACATAGGGAACACACCACGCTTTATCATGCCTTCCTGCCTTTGGTCCATTCTGTGCCTTTTGTTTGGAATGGCCTATTTGTTCCCCTTTTCCCAGGTGGAGATCTCCAGCCAATCAACAAGGACCGATTTCTCTTAGGTTATGGGGGATGTCTTTCCCAGGTTCCGAAATTAATGACTGTCTCCATGGCAACACCATTATGTTTGGCACATGCCCCCTTTTCTCTCACCATAGTCCTTTATCTTTGACTGCCCTTCGGAATTCTCAGAACAGGACCTCCATGAAGGCAGGTGAACCATCTTATCCATTCTTTTTTTAAATTTTTTATTTTTTTTGAGACACAGTCTCACTCTGTCACCCAGGCGGGAGTGCAATGGTGCAATCTCAGCTCACTGCAACCTATGCCTCCTGTGTTCAAGAAATTCTCAGCCTCAGCCTCCCAAGTAGCTGGGACTACAGGTGCATGCCACCATATCTGACTAATTTTTGTATTTTTAGTAGAGATGGGGTTTCACAACGGTGGCCAGGCTGGTCTCAAACTCCTGACCTCAGGTTATCCGCCCACCTTGGCCTCCCAAAGTGCTGGGATTACAGGCGTGAACCACCGCACCTGGCCCATCTTATCCATTCTTACAAACTCGGTACTGATTTAGAGATTGATGAGGAACAGTGCTTCAAAACCTGTGGAATAAATCAACTCGTAATAGTGGAGATGGTTGTAATCTTGGCTCTGCCACTTGCCAGTTAGAAGATTTTAGTATTTAGTATTATTTAACCTTTTTAAGCATTTTTTTTTCTCTTCTAAGATGTGGACTGAACTGTTATATGCCAGGTCTTTTGTGAAGATGAAAGAAGCTAATGTATGTATGTATGATACCTAAACTGTATGTACAGCAGTCCCTAACCTTTTTGGCACTAGTGACCAGTTTCACGGAAGACAATTTTCCATGAAGGGTGGTGGGGGGGAGGGTAGGATGGTTTGGGGATGAAACTGTTCCACCTTAGATATCAGATAATCAGGCATTAGCTCGATTTTCATAAGGTGCATGCAACCTAGATCCCTCGCATGCGCAGTTCACAACAGGGTTTGCGCTACTATGGGAATCTAATCCCAGCGCTGATCTGACAGGAGGTGAAGGTCAGGCTGTAATGCTTGCTCGCCTGGTTCCTAACAGGACACAGACCACACCGGTCTGGCGCCCAGGGTTTGGGAACCCCTGGTCTAGACCATACCAGGCTTCTTAAAAGCACGTTCTCATGGCTCACGCCTGTAATCCCAGCACTTTAGGAGGACGAGGCAGGTGGATCATGAGGTCAAGAGTTCAAGATCAGCCTGACCAACATGGTGAAACCCCATCTCTACTTTAAAAAAAAAAATTAGCTGGGCATGGTGGCATGTACCTGTAATTCCAGCTACTCAGGAGGCTGAGGCAGGAGAATTGCTTGAATCCGGGAGGTGGAGGTTGCAGTCAGCTGAAACTGTGCCACTGCACTCCAGCCTGGACGACAGAGTGAGACTCCATCTCAAAAAAAAAAAAAAAAAAAAAAAAAAAAAAGCAGGTTCTCTAAAAAAATGTACCATATTAATAATAAGGGGAACAGGCTATAGGGTATATCAGAACTCTCTGTATTGTCTTCATAATTTTTCTGTAATCTAAAACTGTTGCCATAAAAAAGTTATTTTTAATAAAGAAAATAAAGAGTCCATCACTGCCGACCAACCCTACCCCACCCCCCAACTCCCAATATAAGGCAGATGTTTCAAGGACTCTTACATGGTTTGGGTTCTGTGTCCCCACCCAAATCTCATGTTCAGTTGTGATCCCCAGCGTTGGAGGTAGGGCCTACTGGGAAGTGAATGGTTCACTGGGGTGGATCCTTCACAAATGGCTTACCACCATCCCTTGGTATTCTGGTGATAGAGTTCTCATGAGATCTGGTTTTTTAAAAAATGTGTGGCACCTTCCCCTACGCTCTTTTGCTTTTGCTTCTGCCATGTAAGATGCCTGCCCCCGCTCTGCCTTCTGCCATGACTGTAAGCTCCTTGAGGCCTCCCAAGAAACAGATACTGCCATGTTTCCTGTACAGCCTGCAGAACTGTGAGCCAATTAAATCTCTTTTCATATAAATTACCCAGTCTCAGGCATTCCGTTTTTTTTTTCTTGAAATGGACTTTTCACTCTTGTTGTCCAGGCTGGAGTGCAATGGCTCAATCTCTGCTCACTGCAATCTCCACCTCCCGGGTACAGGCGATTCCCCTGCCTTAGCCTCCCGAGTAGCTGGGATTTCAGGCATGTGCCACCACACCTGGCTAATTTTGTATTTTTAGGAGAGATAGGGTTTCTCCATGTTGGTCAGGCTGGTCTCAAACTCCCAACCTCAGGTGATCCGCCTGTCTCAGCCTCCCAATGTGCTGGGATTATAGGCACGAGCCATCATACCCGGCTCAGGTATTTCTTTACAGCAGTGTGAGAACAGACTAATACAGGCTCCCTTTGTTATTTATATTGTAGTATACAATGTCTCAAAAATAAAATTTAAAAAGAGGATTATTGGCTGGATTTGGGTAATCTTCTCTTTTATCTCATAAGAATTTGTGCTACCATGGGATATGACCTGTGGTCATTTTTGACATCTAAGCAGTAACGAAGAGAAGCCTAAAATCCACATGCCTTCTTTGTCCCTAAAATTCATCAGGAGGCAAATAAGAAAATAAAAGCCAGACCTTCCTTTTCTGATGGAGGTGGTTATTAATGAAAAAAGTATCCCTTTGCTTCTAGGGAAGCTGGTAATTTCCACCAGGACCTACTCTGGTTGACAGTGTTCCTTTAAAAGGCCCCTCCATTCATTTCAATAAGGACCCTCCATTCATCTCAATAAGGACCCTGCATACATACCTCTGCCTGCTGCATCCTTCCACATGGGCAAGCCCAGTGCATGGTGCAGAGAAGAGACCAGCATATTTGTCTTCATTGACAGGCCACATATGTCTTTGTCATATATTAGATGCTTCTAATAATCTATGTATATGCATTTAGGAGGAAAAAAAAGTTGTGTCTTCTTGATAGTCATAGAATGGCATACACTGGTTCCTCTCTTCACGGATATGCAGATGAGCTGCAAGTTGTTCCCTCTTGTAATTTCGAGGGAAGACCATAAATTCTAATGGGTCCTAACTGAATCTGTGCCCTTTTGTGGATGTGAATGCTTTTGAGTCTGGTTAATTCGATCACACTTTCTCTTGGTATTGTGTATCCTTCTAGATCCAGGGGAATGAATGAATTTATTTATCTTCTGAAAGAGGAAATTCACTACTAGATGTTCAACTATCCATGGCCCTGGAAGTGAAAATTCACAGTTCATGCATCTTTTGAGGCTAGTGTGGATTACAAATAAGAAGGGAAAGCAAGTCAGAAGCACATAAAATAGGAGTTTAAGAAAAGTCAAGTCAAAGAGCACATGGATCGTGGACTATGAGTTATGAACTGAAAAAGAAGTTGTGGTGTTCCCAGCCCTGTGTCCAAGTGTTCTCATTGTTTAGTTCCCACCTATGAGTGAGAACATGCAGTATTTGGTTTTCTGTCCTTGCGATAGTTTGCTCAGAATGAAGGTTTCCCATCATTCTGTTGCTTCATCCATGTTGCTACAAAGGACACGAACTCACCCTTTGTTTACGGCTGCATAGTATTCCATGGTGTACATGTGCCACATTTTCTTAATCCAGTCCACAGGGTCAGGGGATGGGGGAGGGTTAGCATTAGGAGAAATACCTAATGTAAATGATTAGTTAATGGGTGCAGCAAACCAACACAGCACATGTATACATATGTAACAAACCTGCACATTGTGCACATGTACCCTAGAACTTAAAGTATACACACACACACACACACACACACACACACACACATATATATATATGTATGTATGTATATATATATAGAAGTTGTGGAAGGTTTAGATTTCATTTCTTGGGCCAGTCGCTATTAACCACTTAAAACTACCAAGTCCACTACATATTCCTAAAGGACCCTACACATTTCCATCAGTAACAGTGGGTCATTAAGGAAGTGGTTCTCAACAGGGAAAGACATTTTCCTCAGGGGACATTTGGCAACGCCTAGAGATATTTTTGCGTGTCATAGCTGGAGGGGCATAGGATAGAGGGAAGAGGCTAGGGATACTGCTGAACATCCCACAGTGTGAAAGACAGCCCTTCCACCACAAAAAGTTATGAGATATCATCTTAAACTCAGTCAGAATGGCCATTATTAAAGACAAAAAATAACAGACATTAGTGAGGATGTGGAGAAGACGGAACTCTTATACACTGTTGGTGGGAATGTAAATTAGAAGAAAACAGTATGGAGAGTTCTCAAAAAACTAACAATAGAACTACCATTCAATCCAGCAATCCCACCACTAGATATCTAACCAAAGGAAAAAGAAATCATTATATAAGAAAGACACCTGCACTGATGTTTATCACAACACTACTCACAATAGCAAAGACATGAAATCAACCGACGTGCCCATCAATGGATAATGCAAATGTGGTATACAGATGCATATCACAGTACAACGAAATACTATTTAGCCACAAAAAAGAATAAAATCATGTCTTCTGAAACAACATGGGTGGAACTGGAGGTTACTGTCTAAGTGAAACAAGCCAGACAGGGAAAGTCAAATATCACATGCTCTCATTTATAAATGGGAGCTAAAAAATGTGTACACATGGATGTAGAGAGTGGAAAAACAGACAATGGAAACTCAGAAGGGTAAAGGGATGGGAAAGGGGTGGATGATGAGAAATTAATGTGTATAATGTGCATTATTCGTATAATAGATACCCTAAAAGCCCTGACTTCACCACTACAAAATCTACACATGCAATAAAATTGTATATGTACCCCATACATTTGTACAACTGTTAAAAACACACAAAGACATATACAGCCCAAAATATCAATAGTGCCAACATGGAGAAACCCCGTACTAAGGCAGATTCTCCAGTCACTGGTGATGAGCAGGCCACTGTGCAGAGATAAGAGTGGACATGAACCTGTGCAATTTGAAAAGACCCTACAGGTAATTCCAGTACTTCAGCTACCCTCCTCTCCATGGCTCAGAATTACTGTTCAAAAGGCAGAGCTGTCAATGATCATGAGGCTGCTGCTTAGCCTTCACATGGCTATTAGTTCAATTTGGCCTGTTGCTTATGGAGAGTAGGAGTAACCCTGACTTTCATGTGGGATTCCCAGACAAGATACATCTAGAACAAACAAGAAAAAGGAAACTGGCTTCTTTTCTTAGCACATGATTCTAAAGGTGTGGACTTTATCTCCATAAATTCATTCAACAAGCCATTTGTTTCTTGCCTCAAGGGATTTGTTTATTGCCTTTATTAGGTCCTAACCTACTCACTCACCCTCTTTGTCCAGAATGTCCTTGGAAAGCCCTGTCCCCTCTACGCATCCACAATAGCTGTGTCTGCAATCAAAATCTCTTGAACTCAAAGCAGCTGATGTTAAAAGTTATCTAGCAACCCCATCTCTACTAAAAATACAAAAAAATTTAGCCGGGCGTGATGATGGGCGCCTGTAGTCCCAGCTACTTGGGAGGCTGAGGCAGGAGAATGGTGTGAACCCGGGAGGCGGAGCATGCAGTGAGCCGAGATCGCGCCACTGCACTCCAGCCTGGGCGACAGAGCAAGGCTCCGTCTCAAAAAAAAAAAAAAAAAAAAAAGTGATCTAGCTAAAAAATTCACATTAATCACGGGTAATACTAAAATGTTCCCAGAAATATCAGATCTTTTCAAGGAAGGCTAAGTCAGTCATATGAATTTCTAACGGACTGAGCATTAAAGAGCATAACTTGTGCATATGGTAACAAGTAGGTGCTCAATAAATATTTATAAATGTCTGAGCAAGAAGAGACATCATGGCAGAGCAGGCTTCCTGGAGTTCTGGATTTAATGCTGTTCTGCTTTTCAATATTTCTTCCTGATATTCTCAAAGAAATCCCAGATGTTTTTGTACCACAACTCTGTCCCTTGACCTCCCCTCTCTCCTTGCCCCCAACCTATACAAACACTTGCTTCCAGGAAACAGACAGTCAGTCTCCACATGGGAGGGCTTACCAAGAGATGGCACCTATCTCAACACGGGAGACACAAGCACGATATTTATTTACAAAAGAAAAAAAAATAGCAATGGTGCAGATGCTCCAGGACCCTGTGGTCAAACAATAAAAGTTGATCAAGGAAGAGTCTGCTAAGACCCCCAAATCCTCTCTTTGACTGACTCAGCTCTTTCTCCTTTAGTCTACAGTCCTACTCGCCCTCCTTCTCCCCTGTACAACTCAAAGATAAAAAGAAAAGCTAGAGAGATATTGCTAATAAAAATAATCACAACATATTTTCTGGATTCTAAGAGGCTGCTGATTGTACGATATATCAAAACATTTGCCAGGAGAAAAAGACCATCTGTCAAGTTGCTTTTGTAAGTCACATCTCAGTTTCGGAAATGGGAAAATGTGCAAAGTCCTGTATCATAGAACTGAGATAATATGACAAAACACCTGCAAAATACTAGGTGAATTACATATTTTGCTCCTAACATAATATTCCCATTGAGAATGAGAAGCTGAATTGCGAAGTGCCTGGAAGCGTGGGGCCTCAAACCCAGGTCTTGGAATCATCCCACTCTACAGCCTGTACTTTCCCCACTGAGATACACGGCCAGCTCTTTCCAATTAGGAGCAAACCCCCAACTCCTATGCTTTTACATAACCATTTCTCAGGCTTCTTTCCCCATCTTGACAGAGATTATTTTTGGAAATGTGTTTACTCCAAGGCCTTGTATTGTCTCCTCTGATATTAAGAACCTCTCCCATCCTGAACTGTTTAGAGGTATGTAGACAGCCATCTTATTGTGATTACAATAAAATGACTCAGCGGGGCACAGTGGCTCACGCCTGTAATCCCAGCACTTTGGGAAGCTGAGGCGGGAGGATCGCTTGAGCCCAGGAATTTGAGACCAGCCTGGGGAACAAAGTGAGACCCTGTGTCTGCAAAAATAAAAATTAAAAAAAAAAAATAGCCAGACGTGGTAGCACATGCCTACAGTCCCAACTACTCTGGAAACTGAGGTGGGAGAATCCCTTGAGTCCAGGAATTTCAGGTGGCAATGAGCTATGATCCCACGACTGCACTCCAGCCTGGGTGACACAACAAGACCCTGTCACAAAAACAAAACAAAACAAAACAAAATAGCTCTAATATTAATAACAGCAGAAGCTAACACTGTCAAGAGCTTACTGTGTCAGGTATAGCACTAAGACTTTGAAATGTATCATGTCACGTTACCCTCACGCCAATACCCCATGGGTATCATTCTCCCCATCTTGCCCACAGGAAACAGAGGTTTAGAGTTGAGCAACACCCCGACGTTGCAAAGATGGCAAGAGGATGCAAAGCAACCCCAAGGAAGGGCCCTTGACTGAGAGTAAATACTTGAGTTGGGAAAGGGAGTGGGGAAAGAAACATCTCACATCTACCTCCAGAGATGTCTTTCCTCCCCCTTGGTGAGGAGCCTAAAAGGGTCCTCCAGCTCACCTCCGTGAGAGTCTGAGCCCTGTGTGTCTAAGAAAGACCCACAACTGATAGAGAGGTCCATGGAATCCTGGTGATGGATCCGTGAGGCTCCTCACTCCCACCCAGTAAGCAGCACAGAGCTAGGGACCCAGGGCATGGCTGACTTTTCAACGCAGCGGCAGCTGGAGGCAGCAGTGAACATCATTCACTGGGTGTGGGCTGTACAAGGAGGAGCTCAGGACACAATCAGGGTGAGTCCAGTGATCCCTCCTCATGAGTTCTGCTCAGCATCCGTTCCGTTGCTCCCCCTCGCAAATCACAGCTTGCCAATCACACCGTGCCCAGTCTTTGTGCTTGCTGATTTCATCCTGCCCCCATCCAATGAGCCCTGTGTTAGATTCATCAAATCCCCTCTGCTGTCCCTGCAGGACCACGCACTACAGAGCTGCCCAACTGGATTCTACACTGGGGCTCACCTGGCCATTCAGAAAAGGAAACTGTAACAATCTGGTGAGAATACCTATTTTAACACCAAGAAAGCTCTATTTCAAGTTTATTAAAAACAACAACAACAACAAACACCTGAAGAGACCCCTGGCCCCGACCCTTCTTGTAAGATCTAGACCTGTTTACCCCATCTCTGCATGTCCAAAACCGAACTCGCCGTCCAGTGCTATTCACTCTACGTCCCCATTCATCTCTAATCTGCATCCCTTGCTCTGACTCCAAGGCTAACATCCCGCTACGGGCCACAGTGGTCTTTTGCTGAGACTGAAGCCTCCTACCTGCTGCCAACTCTTTTTGAAAGTACTGTTTTCCTGTCGCACTTTTTATATCACCCCCACACATCAGCCAAAGGGATCTTTTCAAATCTTCTAAACTGTCTTTCAATGACCTTTGGAGAAGACCCAAAGCTAACACTTAATAAGACCCTTTATACCTCTCTTACCTTATTCCCCACCACTCACTTCACCAAGAAACATCCGCTTTACTTGTTCATTTGACAAATAGTTATCGGGCACCTTCTATGTGTCAGGCACTGTTCTGTGCTGGGACATATCAGGCATAAAACAGACAAAGATCCCTGCCTTCCTGGTGCTTACACTGAGTTAGCCCACCACACCCATGGGTTCTGCATCTGTGGATTCAACCAACCTGGACTGAAAATATTTGGAAAGAAAACTGCCTCTGTACTGAATATACACAGATTTTTTTTGTCTTCTTACTATTCCCTAAACAATACAGTCTAACAACTATTTACTTAGCATTTACATTGTATTAGGAATTATAAATAATCGAGAGATGATTTAAAGCATACAGGAGGATGTCCACAGATGATGTGCAAATGCAATTTTTTATATATCAGGGACTTGAGCATCTGCAGATTTTGGTATCCGTGGGAGGTCCCTAGAAAGAACACACAATAACCAGATGGAGCCAGCTGTATCCTGGTACCTGGGTCTGTCCTCCCTATGGGGTGAGGCAGAGCAGCCCTCTTGATAAGTAATTAGATATTCATTAGAAGGTGATGAGTCCTCTTGAAAAAAAAAATATGAAAGAGCAGTAGAGAAAAATGGGATGGTGTCTCAGGCTTTAGGATTCAATGGGACAGTCAGGGAAAGCCTTGCTGAGAAGCTCAGGTTTGGGCAAAGACTCGAAGGGCTGGGATTATGGTAGCAAGACAGGGAATGATCTGGAGGAGCAGCATTCCAGGTACAGGAACATCAGAGCAGAGGGCCAAAGGTAGGAGCCTGTCTGGTCTGTTTGAAAAGTAGATTGAAGGGCCAGGCGTGGTGGCTCATGCTTGTAATCCTAGCACTTTGGGTGGCCGAGACAGGAGGATCCACTGAGGTCAGGATTTTGAGACCAGCCTGGCCAACATGGTGAAACCCCATCTCTACTAAAACTACAAAAAATTAGCCGGGTGTGGTGGCACATTCCTGTAATCCCAGCTACTCTGGAGGCTGAGACAGGAGAACTGCCTGAGCCCGGGAGGTGGAGGTTGCAGTGAGTGGAGATCACGCCACTGCACTCTAGAGTGGGTGGAGAGAGAGAGACTCCATCTCAAAAAAAAAAAAAAAAGTGTAGATTTAATGTTTATTTCAGTTTCTGTCTGTATCACTCTCTCTAATCTCTCTCTGGATCTCAGGGCTTCACATATGCTGCTCCCTCTAAGTGAGACCAGAGGCCAATGCATCCACCTCTCTCCCTTTAGAAGCCCTCCTGACTCCCTCCAACTTCCCTCACTAGCAATGCTTTCCCTAAAATGTGATTCGACCTCACCCTGACTTTTCCCTTTCAAGAGACTTTCTACACTTGCATGTAACCATGTGTTCAGATGTATCTAGAATCTAGCGGTTAAGTGTCGGCTCTGAGACCAGCCTGGCTTCAGCCCAGGTTTTGCCACTAACTTGTAGTTAGTGATTTCAGGCAACAGACTTAAAGAGTTTTATGAAGGCTAAATGAGATGGTTCAGGGCATGACACATAAAACACATTTAATAGATATTAGCAACAGGAGGGTAGAGCTAGGTCTGTCTCAGTTAATATTTTACCCCCAGGGCCTAGGGCAGGCCAAGAGCCTCAGAAGGTAGTAAATTAATGAAAGAATGAATGACTGAATGGGTGCAAAAGGCAAGGAAAGAAGGAAGGAAGGGAGGGAGGGAGGGAGGGAAGGAGGGAGGGAGGGAGGGAGGGAGGGAGGCAGGCAGGCAGGCAGGCAGGAAGGCAGGCAGGTAGGGAGGCAGGGAAGGAGGGAAGGAGGGAGAAAGGAACTCAGGAAGGTAGGGAGAGGTTAGGGTTGGTTTCTGGTCTGTGAACTCTCTGAAATTTCAGGCTGAAGAACAAGAAAAAAAAAAAAGAGGCTGGCTGCAGTGGCTCACGCCTGTAATCCCAGCACTTTGGGAGGCAGAGGTGGGCAGATTATGAGGTCAGGAGATCAAGACCAGCGTGGCCAACATGGTGAAACCCTGTCTCTAGTAAAATACAAAAAATCAGCCAGGCGTGGTGGTGCACGCCTGTAGTCCCAGCTACTCGGGAGGCTGAGGCAGGGGAATCACTTGAACCCGGGAGGCAGAGGTTGCAGTGAGCTGACATTGTGCCACTGCACTCCAGCCTGGCGACAGAGTGAGACTGTTTCACGAACAAACAAACAACCCTGAGACATACAAAGAAAAGAAGGGAACTATCACTTATTAGGTATTGTGCAATACAGAGCCATTACCTGACTTAATCACCAAAATAAACCCTATGGGGCGGTTATTAATGTATCATTCTCTCATTTTTATAGAACAACAACAAAAACGAGGCTCTGAGAAGTTAAATGATCTTTCTAATATATAAGACAAGGCAGATTTGCTTCAAAGTTAATCTGAAAATAATTAAAACCTCTTCACCCAATTCTGCCAGGGAAAAAAATCCTTGGTGTTGCTTCAATGGTGTACATCTTGGCTGGACCAATGGAAGAACCAGTAGTGTCTATCAAGAAAATCAAAGCGCTAGTTTCTGATTCTGAGTAGAAGGCAGGCTGGTTAAGAGAGGCAGAGAAAGCAGGAGGGTACAAGGAGGAAATAATGGAAGAGGTCATCAAAATTTTCCAAGTGGAAAATCAACTAGGAGCTAGAGGACGTTAAAGACCTAAACAAAACCATGAAAACTGGTAGTGAGGAGGGAACTTTATCAATACTGGGAGTGCAGGAGAACTTTTTATTTATTTATTTTTTGAGACAGTCTCGCTCTGTCGCCCAGGCTGGAGTGCAGTGGTGCAATCTTGGCTCACTGCAACCTCTGCCTCCAGGGTTCAAGCAATTCTCCTGCCTCAGCCTCCCAAGTAGCTGGAATTACAGGTGACTGCCACCATGCCTGGCTAATTTTTTATATTTTTAGTAGAGATGGGGTTTCGCCATGTTTGCCAGGCTGGTCTTCAACTCCTGACCTCAGGTGATCCACCCGCCTTAGCCTCCTGAAGTGCTGGGATTATGGGCACGAGCCACTAAGCCCGGCCCAGGAGAACTTCTAAAGGCCCCGTACAGATTAAAAAGAAATGCCCAGGACTTTTAACAAAACTGTATGATTGCTGACCAAGAACAGGCCAAGCCTCGCCCTTTCCCAGCTGAATTCCAGCGCCTTCTGTACTAGAAGCACATCACCTCTACAGACACCAGCTGTTGGTGTCATTTTAAAGCA